>NC_000010.11:6525151-6676666 GCF_000001405.40 Homo sapiens
TTTTTTTTTTTTGAGGGTAAGAGTAGGGGAAGGTCAATTGTGGTAAAAACGATAATTATATTAAAACTCATCAAATATCCTATTAATTTGGTGTGAAAGTAATTTGCAGTTTTTGCCATTAAAAGTAATGGAAATTTAAAAAAAGGCTGGGCATGGTGGCTCATGCCTGTAATCCCAGAATTTTGGGAGGCCAAGACAGGCGGATCACCTGAGGTCAGGAGTTCAAGACCAGCCTGATCAACATGGCTAAACCCTGCCTCTACTAAAAATACTTTTTAAAAAAACTTTGCCATTAAAAGTATTGGCAAAAACCACAATTACTTTTGCACCAACCTAATAATCCCACCTCGCCGTACTTTCTGTTGCCTTAGTGCTCTCTGTGGGGTCATTACGCTTTCAGTTGTTCAGGCAACTGCCTTACAACTAATTCTGATTTCTGAACAAATCCTTAGCAGGTATCTTGATCATCGAAGATGTCAAAAGGAAAAATGGAAATAGTATATACCTGGATGTCCCAGACACTCTTACTCTAAGTCCACGAGCAGGAGAAAAGAAAGGCTCACTTGCCTCTTTCCTCCTTGATCTCCACACAGAGGGTCATTCCCAGGTTGGTTTCTTTGAGGGGGATCTGCTGGAGGCCATGAAGTATCATTTTGGAGAAACTCTTCTCCCAGGGTTCCATAAATCAAAATGCTGGCATGGGGGTGGGGTCAGGCTTGGTTCCTTTCCTGCTCTCAACTCCTCCTTTCTAGACCTCAGCTCTCCCACAAGCAGCTGCCCTGGGGAAGAATCCTTGAAAATGTTGTAATCACCCACAATCTGCTGGTATTATTTTGGGAACTGAATGAGATAAGGTATGAGGAAACTCCATAAACTCCTACGTGCATTGCACAGATTAAACGAGTTAATATGTATAAAACAGAACAATGCCCAGCACATAGTAAGCCTTCTATATGTGTTTATTTTCATTATTTGAAATGCTAAACAATGTTCCACAATTGGAAAAATGGCTGTCCAAATCATAGATATTCTTTCTTCTTCTTCCTCAGGATCCTTGGTATTTATGACCTAATGTTCTATGATTACAGTATCCACGATTTCTGATTTAGTGACTATGCATCCATTCACTCATTCATTCATTCAACAAACAGTTACTAGAGCTACTAGGCACTAAGTGTCTTAGGACACTGCAGTCAGCCAAAGAGACAAAACCCATCCTTTGTGCAGAGGTCCAGATGCACGAGACAGACAAGAAAGCAGAAGAATATAATATGAAATACACCAGGTGACTCCCATGAAACAAACTAAGCAGAGGAGGGAGGTGGGGAGTGCTGGGTGGGGCGGCAGGGAGGGCTTTGCTGGTCCTGAAGGGTCTCTGTGAAATGACGTTGAGTAAAGACCTGCACGAGGAGAGGACTGAGTCACACAGACAATGGCAGGTGAACGTTCCCGGCCGAAACATGGGTGTGAGGTCGGAGCTGCCAAGCACGTTCTGGGAAGGCGGATGGGCTGCGTGGAGTTGAGCAAGGGGTAGAGAAGACAGACGAGGTGGGTGTGCCCATGGGGCTGTCCACAGGCCATGGTGAGAACTTGGAGTTCAGGTAGGACACCGCCCGAGGGGTCTACGTGCTGTCTTCAGCTTTGAGTGCAGAGCAGACTTATTTACACCTAGAAAGGGGGTACCCTGGTCCCTGTGTTGAGAGGACTGTAAGGAGCAAGTGCAGAAGAAGAGAGACTACTGGGGGCGACTTCACTCTTCCAGTTGATGGTCGGAGGGCACCAGCAGAAGGACCCTGGCAGCGTGCAGGGATTCCGATATCTCTTGATGGGATGTACCAAGCCACTGAAGATGAGGGGAGGGAAAAGGAGGAGCAGGGCGGCCTCAAGGTTTGGGGCCCCAACCCATGGTAGGAGGCCATCCCCATTCACAAGATGGGAGCACTGCGGGAAGAACTAGATGGCATGAGAAGATGAGACATTTTATTTTGGACACGTTAACTTTGAGATATGGAGAATACAGTTGATAGCTTTTCTGAATCAAGAATTAAGACACATGAACTAAGGATGTAAAAGTTGTATTTTCAGCAGCCAGGTACTGAAACTTCTTGGGCAAGTGGGTACTTATTGGGAATCATGGGACTAGATATTTGAGGTCTATGTCATATAATTTCCATATCTAGAAAACAGCAGTCAGTAAAAGATATAAAAACTGTAATGATGATGATGTTGGTTATGAGGACAACAGCACCCATCACTTACCGAGCAGTTGCTAATCATGGTCATTATGAGAAGGCTCATATTTTCCCTCCCTGTGTTTTCAAACAGAGAGGCTTGCATCCCTCTAACCTATCCTCACTCCTCATCCCTGTACCCCAGGAAGAAGAGTGATTGATCTGATGGATACGTTTGTAAAAGAAAATAAAATCTCAGGCCCCCCAAACCAGTTATGCCAAGGGGAGAGGTAAGCCTGGAAGCCAAGTCCTGCCACCGTGCCATTCTTTTTCCCCAGGAGACAGCGGTCACTTCACAACCCTGTGTCACAGCATTCTACGTAAGCCAGGCTCCCACAATGACAAAAGGCCCCGAGCTTCTCCCAGATGGCCACCGTCACACACTGCTTACGAGGAAATTCCTTTCTGGCCCCTAAATCCTTCAGGATCCACATTCCCCTACAAAACAAGCCTATGCCGATTGCAACCCTAGGACTGCAACCTAAGCTTAACTTCTAAAACTGAGTTCTGTTTTAGGAACTCAACTGACAATGTTGATTTCAAGCTCATCTTCCCAGGTACAGAAGAAGGGCCAGCTGAGATCAGTCACTCTTCTCCTGACTCTGAGGCAGGTGCATAATGGATTTGTTCCTCTGCTCCCTGTTCTCACACATTTACCTTATCTTATGTAAGACATGGATTTGGTAAGCGCTAATTAGAGCCTCACTGCCTCCCTCCTCCCTCTTCCCTCCTGCTTGCCCCCTCTCCTTAAGCACTGAGTTCCTAAAACCCTCTTTGGAAAGCACAGGTCACAGGTGCTTCTGGGGCTGGTGTTTTTCCCGGGTGTGTCCTCAAACTTTAGCTCAATAAACCTCAACTGATAGAGAAACTTGCCTCAGTCACTCATTTTTTGGTTAACATGTTCTACATGAATAAACCGTTCCCACCCATCTCCACCCTCCTCTTCTCATGTTGCAGGATCTGCTGATCTGCAGAACCATTTCTGCACTATCCTTGGCCATGTCATAGGCTGGGGTGGGGTGGGGGCGCATCCTCCTCGGTTGGCAGGGGTGAGAGGGTCCCTGACACAGTCCAGCATCGCCTGGGACGCTGTGAACAGACGACCAACTTATTTGCCTGAACGTTTTAGCCATCTCCATCGATCTGGCCTTTGTTATAACTGGTGGACATGCTTCTCCATCTCCCTGTCTCCTGATCTGCCTCTCCGTTTGTTCTAAGCACAAGCATAGCCAAGAGGGCTTATGTGTTGGATCTCCCACAACCCACAAAACTGTGCAAAGGACTCACAGTGAGTAAGCAACAGCACCTGAACCCAGCTTTGGTGGCTAAGTGTCTCCACCCAAACTAATACGTTATTTCTTGTTAGCAAATGTCTTTGAAGGTTAGGTCAGGGAGGACATGAATGCATAGAGTTTTCGCTGTAGACTGTTTCTGTCTGCTCCCACCTGTCCCTACTTGCAAAGGACATGTTATGACTGTAGGGACAGGCTTTCCTGGCAACTTGCTTAATTATCTTAAGCACTATTAGGATGTTTCTCCTTGTACCTGGGGCTTAATGATCTTTCTTTCTACTCCATGGCTGTGGTTTGAAGAATGAAGAATTGGGTGATATAAACAGAGATGGAGTTTCTCGGAATACCCTAAGTTCTCTTCTGGATGTCAGGGCGCCTGTGCCTATCTGGGTAATTTTCTCAGCATGTCATAAGCCTGTGCAATTCCCTCCAAGCTTCTGCCATTCATGCCTTTAGAAGTGGCTGATTGGGATCAATGAGGATTTCTATGGACAAAGTCTAGAAAGAAGCTAACTTCATCAGATAAAGTTGGGAGGAACTCAGCCTCCCTGGCATCATTTTCTAACCATGGTTAGGATAATCACTTACTAGACACAAAGATGCTGCCTTCTGTAGGAGTAAATGGAAATGTAGGACTCTGCTTCTTGTGTCAAAATTTACTCTGAAAAGACAACCTTCTCTCTGACTCTACCATCTTGTGACCCAGCAGCTCTAACTGAGATGCTGGATCCCTTGCAGTCCTCCTGACATTTCTTCCTGTCATGTAGGTGCTCAGTGAGGAAGAGCACACCACCCAAAACAGGGGCGTCAAGTTGGGGCCAGGGACTCAGGTGCTCTGGTCAAAGGGTACCTAGACTGAGAAGGGGATCTGAAGCCCCTGGGCATGAGGCTTTGCCATTCTCGAACCTTTGCATGGCCGAGTTCAAAAAGGCACAGAGACCCAGGAAGGAGTTAACATGTGAAGGAGCTTGCAGTTTGTAAATGTTGGTGTCATGGAGTATAGGCCAGCTCTATCAGTTTCCAAGCTGTACAGTCTTGGACAAGTGACTTAATCTTTCTGTGACTACATTATCATATCTGCAAAACAAGGTATATAATGGACCCACTTCATCAGGGTCTATGAAGGATTGGGTCTATGTCTGTGTTGTGATGATTTAATGAATTAATCCATGGAAAATGCGTATGACAGTGTTTGGTGGAAAAGATGGCTACGATGATCACACCACACTTTTCTAAAACATCCTTAGAAATTCTCCCTCATGAAAATACCATAGGAACTTGTTTCATGGGTCATCAGACATGGCCCAGAACACCTCTGAACCACTTGCCAAGGGGATGAAGTGACACACACATTTGTTTTTTGCTGTTAGTCACGAAGCATTTGGAATATCTGCCTACTATATTGCAAAGCACTGCACTGGATATGCATATGGGACAGGGTCATGTTCTCAACACATCATGGGGTAGGTATGGGGCAAACCTCTCCTTCCTAGGGCGCGGTCAGAGAAGGAGCCTTCGAGAGCCTGGGCTCCACTTTCTTAACCTTTGATCCCATGAATAGAGACATGGCTGGTTCCCATGAACTTGGCGTCAGAGTCAGAGCAAGAAATGGCAAAGTGAGCTGTCGCCCTTGGGTACACCAGTAGCAAAAACACTCCTGTCCTCCTATGCTGCTGTGACACCACACCCCACTTCCTCCCGCGGGCGTGTGACACTTTTCAAAGAAAATACAGTATTTGGTAGTATCAATACAGCAAGCGGAAGCAGCAGTGCTCAGTCCGCAGTGAGCTAACAGTTTTATAGAGAATACTCTACGGAAGCCCGCATGTGCCGGCTCTGCCCGGCAACGGGGGACTGGGCTATCACAGTCACAGGGGGGGTTGTTGCAAATAGAGGGACAGGGTGGACTAGGGAAGGGCACCGGGGGAAGAGAAAGAAAGTGCAGAAAGAAAGAGCTGGGTCTATCTGGGCAGATGCATGCGTTTAGGGCAATGTGAATTGCTCACATCCAGTTGCAGTCAGAAACGTCGCCAGCTTACAAATGCAAGTGTCGTAAAAACTTGGCTGCAGTTGTTTGGGGTTTAGAATCCACAGAAACTCTAAAATTAGGTAATACTTAGGTTCCTAGGCCAGCCCCTTCACTGACCGTTCATCTGCTAATTCAGAAAGGAGCCAAAAGGAATATATGAAACTGACCACCCATTGGCATTGTTCTAGCTTACGGGACTCTCTATTTTTCCTCCTCACTGTGACGTTTCAGAGTTACTGTAGGCTGAGTATCCACTGGAGGCCTAATTTCTGAATTCAGAAAACTATTAAGTTGTTTTATGATGTGAGAAAAGGACATCTGTACTCTCACCTGTCAGCAGGGTGGAGCCCACATGTTCTCAGAGATGGTCCTGGAGAAACAGCAACATCAGCATCCCTGAGACCTCTTTAAAAATGCAAATCCTGCAGCCCCACCCAGAGCTGCTGGGTGAGAAGCTCTGGGGTGAGGATGGAGCTTTAGCAAGGCCGCCAGGGAACGGATGCATATTGAAGTTCGCAAAGCTGCCCTGGAGTCAGCTCCACCAGGCCAGGCCAGCAGCTTTCTCGTTTCTATTTGCTCAGAATCCAGCACAGTGCCTGGTGGTTCTAAATCAGTGGTTCTCAGAGGGTGATGTTGCTCCTCTGAGCAACATTTGGCAATGTCTGGAGACAGATATTTTTGGTTGTCACAAATGGCGGGAGGGTGTGCTTCTGGTATCTAGTAGGGTGAGGTCAGAGATACAGCTCAACAACCTACGATGACAGGCTAGTCCCCCAAGCACCCCCCCAAAACCAATAGTGCGGAGGCTGAGAAACCCTGTTCTAAATAAATGGCAATGCCGAGAATATCTCCCCAACCCATTCCTCACCACTTCTCATCACTTCCTCATGTTCAGTGAATTCTGGCCCCACCCAGAGAATGGAAGAAGGTAGATTGAGGGACTCTGTCTCTCTCTCTTTCCCATATTCCCTTCTCATTTAGGGACCACACGTGGCACAGGAATTGACCATGTAAGATGTTCATAATAAGCATCTTTGGAATAAGTAAATGGATGAATCCATTATAATAAGACAGGAAATAAATCAGTTAGTGGATCTGTTTTTTGTTTTTTTGTTTTTTTCATTTTGAAAGCTGAAAGTGCCCTTATTGATCTCGTGGTCTGCCCTCTCATGTAACAGAAGAGAGAACTGAGGCTCAGAAAATTAAGGTGAGTGATCAAAGCTATCTACCTAATTAGCAGCAGGAAGGGATTAGGAGCCAGTTCTCCCAGCGCCTCCCTCGGTCCTCTTTTGGCCGGGCCAGTGTTTGACTCTTCCAGGCATCACTCAGTGAGGATCTGATTTGAATAGGTGATTGGATTTGCTCATGCACAGAGTATTAATATTACATATGCCGAAGGATTGTTTAATCGGCCAGATGTCGGACCCTATCAGACTTAATGCTTGTGACTTGTACTGATTTCTGAGCAGTGTAGCAGCATCCAGTGCAGTAGCTGGCATTCAATCAGCCAGTGGCCGGGTGAAATGCTCATTCTTCATACTTTAAAAGGGGCTTTTCTATATTCATCATATGCATATAATATGAAGAGATTAAAAGCTTAGCTTCTTTAAGAAAAACATGGTTTAAAAACAGTACTTGGTTATGGGATACATAGTTGGCAAATGTCAAGCTTCTACTTTACTTGGTGAATTTGTCCTGAGCCATTCAGATTATTTTGTGACAAGAGACATTGCTTGAAATGTGCTTCGGTCTACAGTCATCCCACCCCGACTGCACCCAATCTTGACATGTGCTTCAGTCTACAGTCATCCCACCCCGAATGCACCCAATCTTGACATGTGCTTCAGTCTACAGTCATCCCACCCCGACTGCACCCAATCTTGTCTGAAACGTACTTCAGCCTGTTCTTACAAGACACCAATCTCTCAAGAGAACATGACAGCATTTTTTAACTGCAATTTCATTATTCTCCAGAGCAGAAGGTAGATGGAGTGAATACCTTCATTTTTAAAAGGAGTCCATTATAGATTAGTGGCAAATAACTAATAGGCAAGAGCACTTTACAGTTTACAAATAGCTTTTCAAAGATGAGAATAACTAAGAGGCTGCTAAATCTAAGAGATATTGGTAATTTATTTCTTCACTGGCCCTTTACCACAGAGTTAAAGAAGCACTATTCTGTGGATCCTGTTTTACTGCAATACTTGCTAAATTGCAATCTATTCTAATTTTCTATTTTTTTCATATTCCCCCCTGAATCTAAGCTCTATGACTTCAAAAGTAATGTTTAGATTTTGTTTTTTTAAAAAATAGGTTTTATTTTTTAGAGCAGTTTTAGGTTCACAGTAAAATAAGAAGGTACAGAGAATTCCCACTTAACCCCTGTGCCTACAGATGCAGAGCTCCTCCCATTATCAACATCCCCCACCAGAGCTGGGGATGAGTCTACATTTGCATGTTATTATCACCCAAAGTCCATAAGTGAACCTCAGGTTCACTCTTCTATTTTTTTGAGATGGAGTCTTGCTCAGCTGCCCAGGCTGGAGTGCAGTGGCATGATCTCGGCTCACTGCAACCACCATCTCCCGAGTTCAAGCGATTCTCCTGTCTCAGCCTCCCGAGTAGCTGGGATTACAGGCACCCACCATCATGCCTGGCTAATTTTTGTATTTTAGTGGAGACGGGGTTTCACCACGTTGGCCAGGCTAGTCTTGAACTCCTGACCTCAGGTGATCCACCCGCCTCAGCCTCCCAAAGTGCTAGGATTACAGGCACGAGCCACTGTGCCTGGCCTGGGTTCACTCCTGACGCTGTACATTCTATGGATAATGAGATGGATCCACCATTACAGTGGATCACACAGAAGTTTCACTGCCCTAAAAATGCCCTCTGTCTCTTCATCCTTCCTTCTCCCAGCCCTAATAGGTATTAAAATAAAGATATTATAATGGGAATAATGTGGTTCTGGCAGCAAAAGAGATGGACAGGTTACCGGAACAAAACAGAATGTCCAGAAACAGATCCAATTACATATAAAAGTTTTGTGTTTAAAGAAGATGGTATTTAAACTCAACGGGAAAGGGAAAGATTGCTTAATGAATGAGACTGTGTCTACCAGCTAAAACCTACATTAAAGCTAATATAATACTAAATTCAGACAGATTGAAGATATTCATCCAGAAATAAAACTGCTAAACCACTAAAAGTACTAGGTAACATAGATCAATAATTATGCCCTCTTGGAATTAGGAATGACTTCTTAGATATGATCCCACAGACAAGCCCCAAAAAGGTAAACATTTCCAAACTATTTTACATAAAACTTGTGTGTTATTAATACACGTAAAGCTGGGAGACATAATTGCAAAATATGTGGCAAAATATTTAATTATTTAATATCATTAAAAAGGGCAAATCCCCTAATGAAAAAATGGGCAAAGGCTAACAACAGGCAATTTACAAAAGTAAAGTTATCAAGGGCCAATAAAACAAGTTCCATTTTACTAGAAATAAAAGATAGGTAAATCATCCAGGTCTTTAATCCCTTCTCTGTGATTCCAAATGCCAAAAAGCTCTAAAAATAGAAAATAATTATTCTGTGATATAAACTAATTTTGTAGCAAAATCCAAAGTCTGACATGAAGCTCTTTACAGTCTATTTATTCTACTGAACATGACTCTTAATATCCTTCCCCAGTACATAGCTTTTTGGGAAAATTTTGTAATATACAGCATGTAACTTTATTACCTTTATAAAATATGAATTATGAAGCAGATCTCGCCATAGCAATTTGGATAAGAGACCTCTACAAGCTTTATAGAAGGAAATGTGTATTAAATGACTTTAAAGTGATAAGGAAAGTGTAAGAAAATATACTTACAAGACTGTTCATTGCAGCACAGTTTAATAATAATAAAACTAGAAACAGCCTGAAGATTCAAAAATAAGATATTGTTTAAATATATAATGGCATGTAACTATAATGGAATATTTTATAACCAGTGGCTTATTACTTATTGAAACAAAGATATTTACAGAATATACTTAAAAGTTAAATAGAAACATATATCTATATATATATATATATAGATATATATATATATATATAAACTCATTACAAAGATAAAAATCTGTCAGTGGGAAAAAATTTGGAGTAAAATGCTATCTTTCAGTATACTGGATATTAGTTGATTTTAACTAGTTCTTTTTGGAATGTGCAATTCAAATTTTAAAAAATAATTCTGTGTAACAAAAAGGGAAAATGTTTTTCATATATTTATTCGGTTTGAAGTCCTAACAATTTTGTGAAGTAGGATGAATTGTTCCCATTATAAAGAAGGGAAAAATGGATGTGTACAGAAATTAACACTTTCTCCAAGGCTGCCGAGCTTGTAAGTAACCTGGCTCACTTCTGCTGACTCTGACACTAGTTTCTTTCCACTACAAGACCTCTCTGTTCACCTGGTCCCAGGTATCACCTGGCACCATTCGGATGCCCAGTTTTGATAACATTTGGTAATTTAACAAGTCTCTCTTTCACCTAATACCAACTTATCAGGAGTTCCATATGTGGAAAGTATTGTGGGTATCTAAGCCATAGTTCCTGTTTCCAAGAATCCTCCAATCCTCATAATGGGAGATTCCCAATTTAAGAAACAGCAAAAATTTATAACTTTACTAATAAGTTATTTGTTTAGGTGAGGGAATATACATTTTTTCCATAGAAATGTTACCCATGATGTTAAATCCACATATGTATTAATACATTTTTTTTTCAGTACCAAATGGTGCTATGAAAATGTGAAAGTTACCAGTATCAAAATGGAGTCACTTATGTCAAACCCCAAGTAAAAAGACCTGGGAGGTTACGAAGGAAGTAGGCAAGGAATTCCCCAAAACCAAAGTATTCCAGACAAGCTGCCGGCCTGACACGCCTGTCTCCAGCCATGCGCCAAGGCCACCTCCTGCACTGAGCGCTGTTTCAAAACAGCCCGTGTCCACCTCCCCTCTTGGTCTTTTGAAGTCTCCCCTCGCCGCGCCTCTTTAGACGCACCTGAGATCCATCAAAGCGGACAGATCCCGATTACAGTCCCCTGCTCTTCCCAAATAAGCTCTATGCTTTGGAAAGTCAGTCTGTCTGTCACTCATTTTAAGCTGACGAAACCAACTGCTGTGGATTTGCCATCGATCTATGAGGAAATGCCCCCAGCCTCCCACATGGAGTTCTAGGAGCACCACCCTAGGGCAGCCATGGCAGTGGATCACAAGCCCTCTTCCTTCCTACTGAGCAGTGGAGTCAGGCCCTACCCCTGGTTCTAGGTCACCCTTGGGGACAGTAGGAAGTAAGGGGGACCCTGGGGAAGCAGATGTGCGTGGGGAGGTTTGTGTGTGTCCGTGGAATGAGGAGGATGAGGAGAATGGAATGTGTGAAACATGATCACCTGTGAGGGCATTTGAAGGTCCGGGCAGCCCATGGCTCTAATCCCCCACCTGCACTGAGCCTGGGTGGTCCCAGACACAGATTCCTTCAATGTCCCTTTGCTGAGGGGTATAACCCCCAGGGTGGGCCCAGCCACTTGCCACTGGCTGGAACATGGATGTGATGGTGTCAAATCACCTTGGCAGTGACCTTGGCGATGACCTTGGCTATGCCCTTGACTGCCTGAGCCCGGGCTCTGACATGGGAGGGATGTCCACTGTCTTCTTTCAGTCACTGTTACTTGGGAGCCCTATGACAGCAGCAGACTTGTAGACTAATGAATAGCACACCTCATAAGACTTTAGTAAGAAGCAGACAAGGCTATAACTGAAAACATGTTCTGGAAGATAAAAAATTATTCTAATAGTAAAATACGATTTTATTATTATGCTCTAAAAATCTCTTCTTCTTCCGCTCCCCTTCTCCTCTTCCTCCAGCCAGTTCTCCCTGTTCTTCTCCCAGGCAAAAATAGGATGAAGAGCGGTATCCAAATGGGGTACTGGGCTTCAGTGTCCTGTCCCAGCCCCACAGCTGATAGCACAAAACAACCCCAAATCATCTTCCCGACACAACACTTTCCTGAGGTTTGAAAATTTGAAATTCCAATAGGTTTTCTGGGTAAGAACCCTGGGAGAGAAAGCAGAATTAAAAACAGCCAGAGCATCTCCTCCATCTGTGTTTGCTTGCGAGCTGCAAGAGGAAGGAGAGGCTGGAGGCACCACCTTCCCTCCCAGAAACAAAACAATACCTACGGTGCCTTTGGAAGAATACCCTTCCCCATCCCAGTTCTCGCTCTCCCAAGCCAGGGGCTCAGAGTAGCATGAGCTCTGGTGGGGCTGACGATGGAACAATTTGACAAGCATCAGGGACAGAAAGATGGGGCGCAGTGGGGGTGTCGGAGTGTGGCTGGTGGGGATGCAGAAGAGGCGGTTTGACTCCTCTTGTTGGTTTTATACTATGGGCATTTGTTGAATGCTTGCAGGGAAGTTGGTGATTCTTTTTTTTATTTCTCGCTTTGTTTTCTAAAATAAAATTTCATCTTGTTCTAAAAGGACTGAAACCAATAAGCCATTTTGTTAATCTATACCTCAGTTTACCTCTTAAGGAAATAAATGAGGAGGACTAACAAAATCCGATGTTTTTTCAAAGTGTTTTCAAGTTCCATCTCTCCATTTTAATGCCACCATCTTGTGACATATCCAAGTCGGTCTCTTGTCCTTACTTTACAGATGTGGAAATGGGCTCAGAGAGGTGAAGACCTTTGCTCAAGGCTGCACAGCTTGTTCCAGCCCTGCGGGAACGGGAACTCAGGTGCCACAGAAGCTAACCTGAGGACATTGCACTGCCCAGAACCTCTTCCTTTCTCGGGATCTATTCTGAAAGCATTCACAGGTCTTTGAGCTCCTGTAAACTAAGTGCTGTTCTGTGAGGATTTTTAATGGCAACTGGCTGAGTTGGTTATGGTGAGATCTTCGTCAGGAGACCTTTGGCTCCCACTGAGCTCTCTTCGCTGGTCCTTGCTGCAGAGATATGATGACTGACCGATCTTATTCATCTGACACTTCTCTGGGGCTCTCAAAGACACTTTCATCTCAGTTGCTCCAAGAAAAGAAGCCACACATTTTGACTTTGATACTTGCAAACTCAGGGCTAGGGAGGGCAAGCTAACTTTCCCCTTTTCTGGTTCCTCTTCCACAGCGCCCCCCTTCCCTGCACTTCCTCCTCCGAGGCCTCTGCAGTTTAGCGCTTCCTCACCGGGGATGGTTTGGAAATAAAAGCTAAGTGGCATGAAAAGAACATCTGGCCTCCTGCAAAACAGGAAGGAAAAGAAGGAGGGAAGGGAATTGCTCTCTTGGGGCTTACTGCCTCCAGGAGCAGGGAAAGCGGGACCAAGGCTCCTGCTGGCTTCCCCAAGGATGTGCCTTCTGTTCCAGCTGAAACACCCTTCATTGTGCCTCACTCTGTGGGCTCAGAAACAGGAGTACCTGCTCTAAGGTGAGGCCCACTGTGCTAGTTCCAGTGGTCCAACTCCCATTGCTGCCAGGACTGGAGCCTGGAGGTGGGTGAGCTTGGAGGCGGCATTGTCAGAAGACGGGTATGCCAGCCTGGGCCAACCTGTTCATAACCAATTTCAGGTCTTTCCTTGCTGGACCTCGGGGAAGCTAAAGAAGCAAGGCTAGTTTTGTACTGGAGGCATTCCAGACAGGAATGACCTCTTAGCAGAGAGAGAGGAAACGTTTTACAGAAGCTGTTCCATTGGGAAATGTCACGACAAAAGCTGCATTTCAAATCTATCATAGGCATGGCTCAGTTTGAAGGACATGGGGAAAAGCTTTTTCAAACCAAGATGCCCCCTCCCTGGCTCCTCCTGCCTTTAGAACATCTAGTCGGCACTAAGATAATGGGGGCCTTTCCTTGCTTGGCTGTGATGTCACATTGACGTCACCAAAGTGACATAAGTCTGCCAGAGTTGTCCTAGTGCCAGCTGGTCATGGACTCTGGAAAGTCGGAGTTGGAATAAGACTGATTTTCCTAGTTCAGATTTTAAGCTGTTGACTTTTACCTATTTCCATACTCTCTAGAAATGAAGGACTTTGAATTTATTTATTCATTTATTTATTTTGTAGATGGAGTCTCGCTCTGTCACCCAGTTCACTGCAACCTCCACCTCCCAGGTTCAAGCAATTCTCCTGCCTCACCCTCCGGAGTAGCTGGGACTACAGGTGCGCCCCACCACGCCCAGCTAATTTTTTGTATTTTAGTAGAGATGGGGTTTTACCATGTTGCCCAGGCTGGTCTTGAATTCCTGAGCTCAGGCAATCTGCCCATCTCAGCCTCCCAAAGTACTGGGATTACAGGCGTGATGAATTTATTTTTAATAATTGAAAATGACATGACTAAGTATTAAGTGATGGTTCTCTTGCACAAGGGTAGAAACCTTGGTGACTGTAATCCCTAGAGCCCTACTTTCCTTTCTGTTGGCCCTAACATTCTGCCTCACTATATTTTCACGACTCATCAGTGAATCGGAGAATGTTTCTGAGAACTTGGAGGATGCTGACTTTTCTAAATTCACCTATGTTGACCCTTTAGAGCAGGGGTCCTCCAGCCCCCAGGCCATGGACCAGTGGTGGTCCGTGGCCTGTTAGGAACTGGGGTGCACAGCAGGCGGTGAGTGACCGTTCCTGCCTGAGCCCCGCCTCCTGTCAGATCAGCCACAGCATTAGAGTTTCACAGGAGCAGAAACCCTATCATGAACTGCGCAAGTGAGAGATCTAGGTTGCACACTCCTTATGAGAATCTAATGCCTGAGGACCTGTCACTGTCTCCCATTACCCCCAGATGGGACCATCTAGTTGCAGGAAAACAAGCTCAGGGCTCCCACTCATTCTACATGATGGTGAGTTGTAATTATTTCATTATATGTTACAATGTAATAATAATAGAAATAGAGTGGACAATTAATGTAATGTGCTTGAATCATCCTGAAACCATTCCCCACCCCAGTCTGTGGAAAAATAGGCTTCTACAAAACTGGTCCCTGGTGCCAAAAAGGTTAGGGACCGCTGCTTTAGAGAACTCATCAGCGCAGCACTCTGCATCACAAATTGCATAAAATGTCTTTCTTGAGTATACTGTGAACACTCAGTTGTGCATTTAGCAGTGCCCCTGCTTCTTTTCAAAATATAGTTCTAATTGGCTGAAAGTTCTTTCCTGCACTGAAATTTACCTCCTTGGATATAATTTCTTCCATTGGTCCTGATTCTGCCCTCTGGTTACTCTGAATAAGTGGAATTCATGTAATGCCTCTGCCACAGGAAATCCCTTCAACTAATTAAGGGTGGCCAGCACCCTCTTCTGCCTGTTCTTCTTGACAGTAAATGATAACTAAATTCCTTTAGTTATCTTTCTTTGTCAGAGTTTCTAGACCTATGGTCTTGATCATCTTTGCCCAGACACACAAAGTTTGTCAGTTTGCTTTTTGTACTAGTTCTTGCTGCCAGGATACTCAGTCTATGTTTAATAACCTTTTTATTGTGGTAAAATATATACAATATAAAATGTATCATGCTAGCCATTTTTAATTGTATAGTTCAGTGACATTCATACATTCACATTGTTGTGCAACCATCACCACCATCCATCTCCAGAACTATTTTATCTTCCCAAACTCAAACTCTGTCCCCATTCAACACTAACGCCCCATTCCTCCCACTCACCAGCCCCTGATAACTGCTCGTCTACTTTCTATGCCTATAAATTTGACTACTCTAGGAACCTCGTATAAGTGGAGTCTTAGCGTATTTGTCCTTTGTTTCTGGATCATCTCACTTAGCATCATGTTTTTAAGGTTCATCTGTGTCGTAGCAGGTGTCAGAAAGTTTCATGCCTTTTTAAGGATGAGTGATATTCCATTGTATGAATATGCCCCATTTTGTTTGTTTGTTCCTCTGCTGATGAACATTTGGGCTGTTTCTAGTTTTTGGCCATGGTGAATAATGCTGCCACGGAGTTTAGTGTACAAGTATCTCAGTCCTCATTTTCAACTATTTTGAGAATACCCAGGAATGGAATTGCTAGATCATGTGGTAACTCTGTTTAACTTTTTGAGGAATCACTGCACTGTTTTCCTCAGAGTCTGTACCACTTCACATGTCCACCAGCAATTCAAGAAGGTCCCACATCTTCACAGCCTCACCAACACCACCTTCCCTTTTTTTGGTAATAGCCATCCTAATGGGTGTGAAGCAGAGCTTATTGATTTGTGTTGTATTTCCCTACTAAGGAAGGGTGTTGAGCATCTTTTCATGAGTGTCAATATCATTACAATGCATATCCAGAATAATCAGTATTTCCAGATACTATTTGATAAGCAGAAGGTAAAAGTTCTAGATGCACTGAAGGTCCATAAATGCAGACCATGAATGAACTGACTTTTGCAGACGTTACATTCTACTGCCAACTCAGATAGAAATGTCAACTAACTAAAACCCCGGAGTCCTGTTCATCATAATGTTCTCATGATTTCCCCACCTGGCCCTGGACCAGTTAAGCTGTTGACTCTGCGTAAAGGCTTTTGCCAAAGTCAGATCTGAATTTGGCGTTGGCCTAGTTTTTCAGTCTACATGATCATTTTGATTCTGCATTCTACTGACCCTTTGAGTTTTGTGTGGTCTGCTATAAATCTGGCCTAACTTCTAAATCTTAAGGACATTTATTTCTAGAAATGCTGATGACTAGGGCAGAATCCAGTACCGAATTCTATGACCTGCCCCTAAAGACCCCCTTTTCCTGGATCTGAAGGAATTGTTGCCCCCTAGGTGCCCACTAGGTACTTTTCACGTTTCTAATAGGAGTGTTATGAGCCATTTTGTTAGATATCTCATTGAAATCATGTTCTCTCACTGGTCTAATAATTCATTAGTCTGGGGACTCTACAAAAATGGAAACTAGGTGAATCTGGCATGAATTTAGTAAGTCCATGTTGAGACCTACTGATTACTTTTTATCTTTTTTTTAACAACTAAACAGGAATCCTCCTGCTATAATTCAAGCCCATTTCTCTTTGAGTGAACATTTAAAATTGCTAGATAGCATTCTCTTTGCATTGATTCTTACTGATGCTGCATATTAAAGCCACCTCCAAGCCTCCTCGTTTCCATATGAAGTAATATCTACTCTTTACTCTTTCTCTAATAAATATTCATATGCACATTTCAAATGATTTTTTTTCTTCTCTGTGGATAGCATCTGATTTTTATGTGACATGATTAAAACGCTGAGCCCAAAGCAATTCTGCGCTATTTAAGTTTAAGGTCAAGGAAAGCAACCACACCTTCTCAACACGTTCCTCAACTCTGTCAGAGGCAGAAGCCTGGGATGCACACATGGACCCCGGCTCTAACTGTGGCCAGTCCTTGTGTTTTCACTAAGAGCAACGAAGCCAATACAAAGCTCAATGAAGGACAGAGTAAACATGGGGAAACTGCTTACCCTCTGTGGGTTTCAGCTTCTTTGCCTATAAAATGAGGGCCTAGAGATTACTCTCTCTAGTCTATTTTCAGCCCAACAACCTGGAGTGGTGCTGACTTGCCAGGCTCAGTGGCTGTCTCACCACTATCCTCAGGTGAATGCATTTGCAGATAGAAGCCTGCTCTCTTGGAGAAATATCCTTGCATTCTGATGTCATGGGAAGAACACATAAGTCCTCTCTTCAGTAATAACCTGCATACAGTAAATACTCATTGAGCATGGATTTTAGACAAGAGCTGGTGGGAGAACATGAACTTCATCCTTGAAATACTCGTATTTTGGCAGAAGCAATAAAACATGAATGCAACAGCATTGATAGAAACTGTAGAGACTTTAACACCCTATAACACAGCATCTGCAGCTTCAGAGTGAACAGTTCTCCCTCGGGGACAACAGCAGAATTGTGTGTAGTTCAACAGCTGGATCACTAGGTACCCGTCACCATCCATGTCTCCGTGTTAGATTCTAGCACCCAGGGGTATGTCCTGGGCCATCAGAAGATCAGCTTAATATTAAATTTGACGTTACGAGGTCTCTTGCCTGCTTTGTGCTTCTAACTCATTACCTAAAAAGAACGAAGGTGATAAAAGCTACCTACATCCTAGCTTTCTTAGGTGTTGTTAGGAATATGCCTGGGAAATAGAGTTGCAAAGTCAAGGTCACATTCTTTTCATTGTTTCTGTTATTATATTCAATTAAAAAGTAATATAAAAGGGTTTCTTTTTCTGCTTGCATTCAGAAGGGCTCAAAGCAAGAGGGAATCCCCACTGCCATCACGTCCTTTCCCTGCGTTGAGTCCTTCCTCAGGGCTCTAAGAAAGTCACAGGCTGGGAAGTCACTATTTTGGTGGAGCCCTGAGGGTGGGCCCTGCCCTCCCTGGAGAGCTCAGCCCTTTCAAGCCTGGCAGGGAGGCAAGGGCTCCTCACCACTGTCCTTTGAAGTCGTGTTCGTTAGCCCAGCAGTTCCTGTATTTCTGTGCGCTCAGTAATTGGTGAGCACACATCCTGCCATGTTTACTTTTAAAAAGAAAGGAAGAAAAAGTCACACAGGTGGAGTTCGCGGAGCTGAAAACAAAATACTCAGCCCTGGCGGAGCAGCACAGGCTTCCCTTAGCTTTCAGCTGAGCGCAGTCTGGTCTCTTTCAGTCTCCAGACAGAGGAAAACAAAAACAAAAACAAAAGCAAAAACACAACACCATGGGGAAAGGTGGCGTTGGGGAAAAAAGGAGGGAGGAAGAAGTCAGAAATGTGTCTGTCATGACTAAATTAACCACATTCATTTTCAGAAGAAGAGTTCAGGCATCATTCTAAAGCCAGCAGCAGCTTCTGTCACCCTTATCAATTAGAGAGACGCTAACCACTACTTTGTGGTTACCTAAGGAAAGCAAACACACACCTCCAGATGCTGAAACACTGTCCTCGATGATCAAACACACAACCCAACTCACACAGCAGGTTGCTGACAAGGCCCACGGTTCTGTTTTCCAGAGAAACACGCTGAGCAGGGCTGAACTGCAAGTGCTGGAAGGAACCCCAGCCTGGGGACAAGGACTGGAGGAAACTGGGGGGTCGGCTGTACTCCTTCCACAAATGTCCTGCCACTCCCATGCACCGCGCATCCTTCCTGGCTGGGATGACAGGGCCTTGTTTGGCTGATGCTCTGAGCAGACAGTTGTCAGGACCGAAAGAGCAGAAGGTGCCAGCCCTTCCTGTTGTGAAAAGGAAAGACATGACCTCCAACCCCACGACACTGAGAGAGCTGTCTCTTTCTCAGATGGTTTGCATATTTCTTCCAAGCAGGCTACCATGGCCATTTTCCCCTCAGCGAGGTCAAGTTCATTACATCATGTATCTTACTATGGTACCTTTACCATCTTTTGAAGAGCTCTCAGGAAAGATGTTTGGGAAAAACGATGTTGGAAGAATCAAAGGGTTATGTAGAATATTCATGGGAATTTTACCAATGGGGAAAATCAACCTGAAGGAAGTTAAACTGTTTGTGAGTCACAGTTTTGAGCTTAATTCCCACTACCTGACATCCATCCTGGAAAGGATGGTTTGTGGATGGCTTTATGTTTCCACCAAAATCAACATCGCTCAAGGTTTTTCATCGGGGAGATTTGTCTGTTTAATGACCTGGTCACACTGTCAACTGAAGAACCAATTTGCCCATTCTAATAATGCGATGACCACAGAATATATTGTTAACGGCAAGGAGAGACACTGTAATTAACTCCACAGTGATTAACTCTAATTGACTTAGGCCAAGGACATTGATAAATGGAGATAACTGGAAACTGGGTCTTCACTTATTGGTTCTATTCATTCACCTGCCCTTAGAATCTGAATTTGTGTGATGACTGTTTAACCTCCTCTCTCGCCTAAGCAGTTGGAGATCCTACCCCACACTCTTTTTTTTTTTTTTTGAGGAGTCTCTTTCTATCGCATAGGCTGGAGTGCAGTGGCATGATCCAGGCTCACTGCAACCTCCACCTCCTGGGTTTAAGAGATTCTCCTGCCTCAGCCTCCCAAGTAACTGGGACAACAGGCACGTACCACCGCACCTGGCTAAATTTTTATATTTTTAGTAGAGACAGTGTTTCACCATATTGGCCAGGCTGCTCTCGAACTCCTGACCTCATGATCCGCCTGCCTCGGCCTCCCAAAGTGCTGGGATTACAGGCGTGAGCCACTGCGCCCAGACCCACATTGTCTTAAGTCAACTCTTTCTTTTCCTGAGTGACAAAGTCTGCTATTATTTCCTTTCTGTTTTTTTTTTTTTTAATCTATAGGGGAAAAATAGCGGGAAAATGTGAATGTAACATTTTTATTTTTACGATACTGGGACTCTGGGAGTTAATCTCTAACTTGCTAAATAAGAAGATTATCCAATTCAGTTAAAAATAATATTAATTACTGAGCACTCACAAATGTGTGACTTCAGGAACCACGGACATGAGAAAGGCATTTTTCTTGCACCTGGTCTTCATGTAACTTATCATTTAGAAAGGGAAGAGAAGGAGGCTAAATTAATTTTTATCATGGCTCAAAGCACTGCACTGGGCGCTGTCTGTTGCTTTACCTGATTTTATTAAATCCTCACAACAACCTTTGAAAAATGGCCTACTGATCCGATTTTACAGAAGAGGCAATGGAGGCTTTCAAAGGTTAAACTGGAATATTCTTGAGGCTGAAAAAGGAAGGACGTGGTGACACCTGCTACAACATGGAGGAAACTTGGGGACATTATGCTCGGTGAAAGAAGCCAGACACCAAGGGACAAATGTTAAACAGTTCCACTGAAATGAGTCCCTAGAGGAGTCACATTCACAGACACTGAGGGTAGAATTGTGGCTCCCGGGAACTTGGAAGGGGGGAAATGGGGAATTCATGCTTGATGGGGACAGAGTCTCAGTTTGGGATGATGAAAAGGTTCTGGAGATGCGTGGTGGCGATGGTTGCATAATACTGTGAATGTTCTCATGTCCCTGAACCGTACACTTCAAATTGGTTCAGGCCAGGCACGGTGGCTCATGCCTGCAATCCCAGCACTTTGGGAGGCTGAGGCAGGCAGATCACAAGGTGAGGAGTTCGAGACCAGCCTGGCAAACATGGTGAAACTACTAAAAATACAAAAATTAGCCAGGTGTGGTGGTGTGTGCCTGTAATCCCAGCTATTCGGGAGGCTGAGGCGGGGAGAATCGCTTGAACCCAGGAGGTGGAGGTTGCAGTGAGCTGAGATTGTGCCACTGCACTCCAGCCTGGGGGACATAGCAAAACTCCATCTCAGGAAAACGAGAAAAAAAAAAGGTTCACATGGTAAATTTTGTGTTACGCGTATTCTAGCACAACAACAAAAGAAAGAGTTCAAGTGAATTGTCCGAGGACCTACAGCTAGTAAGTGGGATGGTGGGGAACTGAGCTCAGAGATATCTAACTGCAAATGTTAGGTGTTACTCATGATGGTGTACAGGCCCTGATGTTTATTATTTTTGTTACCTGCCTCCTGTTTTTGTGTATCAATTAATAGTAAGCGTCTTAAAACAAAAAGGGCAGTAAAATGGGGTGCCAGTGGGATTAGGGTAGGGGAGTCAGGACTGCCTCACTCCACACACCATCCAGGTTTACAGTAGAAGTGCCCCTTGGGGTAGAGCAAGATGAGGTTGCAGAGGAAAGGAAATTTCAGCGTGGTGCAAGGAATATACACAAAGCTTAGCCATGTGGAAGCTACATTAGTTCAAAGAAGGTGTTATACTTAGGTATTTTACTCTCTTTGAAGCAATTGTGAATGGGAGTTCACTCATGATTTGGCTCTCTGTCTGGTATTGGTGTATAAGAATGCTTGTGATTTTTGTACATTGATTTCGTATCCTGAGACTTTGCTGAAGTTGCTTACCAGCTTAAGGAGATTTTGGGCTGAGACGATGGAGTTTTCTAGATATACAGTCATGTCGTCTGCAAACAGGGACAATTTGACTTCCTCTTTTCCTAATTGAATACCCTTTATTTCCTTCTCCTGCCTAATTGCCCTGGCCAGAACTTCCAACACTATGTTGAATAGGAGTGGTGAGAGAGGGCATCCCTGTCTTGTGCCAGTTTTCAAAGGGAATGCTTCCAGTTTTTGCCCATTCTGTATGATATTGGCTGTGGGTCTGTCATAGATAGCTCTTATTATTTTGAGATACGTCCCATCAATACCTAATTTATTGAGAGTTTTTAGCATGAAGCGTTGTTGAATTTTGTCAAAGGCCTTTTCTGAATCTATTGAGATAATCATGTGGTTTTTGTCTTTGGTTCTGTTTATACGCTGGATTACATTTATTGATTTGCGTATATTGAACCAGCCTTGCATCCCAGGGATGAAGCCCACTTGATCATGGTGGATAAGCTTTTTGATGTGCTGCTGGATTCGGTTTGCCAGTATTTTATTGAGGATTTTTGTGGGAATCCAACTTACAAGGGACGTGAAGGACCTCTTCAAGGAGGACTACAAACCACTGCTCAATGAAATAAAAGAGGATACAAACAAATGGACGAACATTCCATGCTCATGGGTAGGAAGAATCAATATCGTGAAAATGGCCATACTGCCCAAGGTAATTTATAGATTCAATGCCATCCCCATCAAGCTACCAATGACTTTCTTCACAGAATTGGAAAAAACTACTTTAAAGTTCATATGGAACCAAAAAAGAGCCCGCATCGCCAAGTCAATCCTAAGCCAAAAGAACAAAGCTGGAGGCATCACACTACCTGACTTCAAACTATACTACAGGCTACAGTAACCAAAACAGCATGGTACTGGTACCAAAACAGAGATATAGATCAATGGAACAGAACAGAGCCCTCAGAAATAAGGCCACATATCTACAACTATCTGATCTTTGACAAACCTGAGAAAAACAAGCAATGAGGAAAGGATTCCCTATTTAATAAATGGTGCTGGGAAAACTGGCTAGCCATATGTAGAAAGCTGAAACTGGATCCCTTCCTTACACCTTATACAAAAATTAATTCAAGATGGATTAAAGACTTCAACGTTAGACCTAAAACCATAAAAACCCTAGAAGAAAACCTAGGCATTACCATTCAGGACATAGGCATGGGCAAGGACTTCATGTCTAAAACACCAAAAGCAATGGCAACAAAAGCCAAAATTGACAAATGGGATCTAATTCAACTAAAGAGCTTCTGCACAGCAAAAGAAACTACCATCAGAGTGAACAGGCAACCTACAAAATGGGAGAAAATTTTCGCAACCTACTCATCTGACAAAGGGCTAATATCCAGAATCTACAATGAACTCAAACAAATTTACAAGAAAAAAACAAACAACCCCATCAAAAAGTGGGTGAAGGATATGAGCAGACACTTCTCAAAAGAAGACATTTATGCAGCCAAAAGACACATGAAAAAATGCTCATCATCACTGGCCATCAGAGAAATGCAAATCAAAACCACAATGAGATACCATCTCACACCAGTTAGAATGGCAATCATTAAAAGGTCAGGAAACAACAGGTGCTGGAGAGGATGTGGAGAAATAGGAACACTTTTACACTGTTGGTGGGACTGTCAACTAGTTCAACCATTGTGGAAGTCAGTGTGGCGATTTCTCAGGGATCTAGAACTAGAAATACCATTTGACCCAGCCATCCCATTACTGGGTATATACCCAAAGGACTATAAATCATGCTGCTATAAAGACACATGCACACATATGTTTATTGTGGCACTATTCACAATAGCAAAGACTTGGAACCAACCCAAATGTCCAACAATGATAGACTGGATTAAGAAAATGTGGCACATATACACCATGGAATACTATGCAGCCATAAAAAATGATGAGTTCATGTCCTTTGTAGGGACATGGATGAAATTGGAAATCATCATTCTCAGTAAACTATGGCAAGAACAAAAAACCAAACACTGCATGTTCTCACTCATAGGTGGGAATTGAACAATGAGAACACATGGACATAGGAAGGGGAACATCACACTCTGGGGACTGTTGTGGGGTGGGGGGAGGGGGGAGGGATAGCTTTAGGAGATATAACTAATGCTAAATGACCAGTTAATGGGTGCAGCACACCAACATGGCACACGTATACATATGTAACAAACTGCACATGGTGCACATGTACCCTAAAACTTAAAGTATAATAATAATAAAATAAAAAAAGAAGATGTTATACTTAATTCTTAATGCATCCAGCTCAGCTACAGTGAAAGACCACATTGATCCATCCATGATCCATTTATCCATTCATTCACCAGTCTTATTGTGTGACAGCCATATGCCAAAGCTCTGAGGCAGGCACGTATAAGCCATGTTGTGTTATTAGGACCTCTGTTTTCCAAGGGCTTACATTCTAATGGGAGCGATGGAACAGCTCTGAAAACTTAAGAAGCAGTACATGGGGCCATATAAGTAATGAACATCTAGTTGTACACAAAATAAGTGTCCTGGGTCCTTAAGGCAAGAGGAATCCAAGTGCCCTGGGTTGGCTTCTGACTGTATCATGGAGAAAGCAGTATGGAGTTGGGCATGCTGCAATGGGATTCATTAGAGTTCCCTTGGGTAGAATTTATGTAGATAGGGAGGAAGTACGGGATATTCTGGAAGGGCAGAATGCTTCATATGAGCCAACATCAAAGACTGGACTAAAGCAAGAAGTCTGGGCAAGATACTCACTTGGGAAATTCAGAAACAGTCGACTTATTTTTATGATAACTGGAGTGAGGGCAGGGAATCAGAAAATTCCCCCATCATACAAAGGTTTGTCATAGCGATTACTAGGTTGGTACAAAAGTAATTGCAATTTTTGCCATTAAAAGTAATGACAAAAACTGCAATTATGTAGCTTTTCTTATCATGGTAAAAAGCACATAACATAAAATTCATCTTTTTTTTTTTTTTTTTTTGAGACAGAGTCTCACTCTGTCTGCCAGGCTAGGCTGGAGTGCAATGGCATGATCTTGGCTCACTGCAATCTCCACCTCCCAGGCTCAAGAAATTCTCCCGCCTCAGCCTCCCGAGTAGCTGAGATTACAGGTGTTTGCCACCATGCCCGGCTAATTTTTGTATTTTTAGTAGAGACAGCGCTCTCCCCATGTTGGCCAGGCTGGTCTCAAACTCCTGACCTCTGGTAATCTGGCCACCTCGGCCTCCCAAAGTGCTGGGATTACAGGCGTGAGCCACCGCGCCCGGCTGAAATTCACCATCTTAATCATTTTCAATGTATAGTTCAGCAGTGTTCTGTATATTCACATTGTTGGGCATTCATCTCCAGAACTTTTACATCTTGCAAGTCTGAAATTCTGCACCCATTAAACAATAACTCCCCATTCTCCCTTTCCACAAGCCCTGCAATCTCCGTTCTACTTCCCGTTTCTGTGAATTTGACTACTTGAGATACTTCTCATAGGTAGAACGGGCAATATCTGTTCTTTTGTATCTGGCTTATTTCACCTAACATAATTTCCTCAAAGTTCATCCACATGACAGCATGTGAAGGAATTTATTTCCTTTTTAAGGCTAATAGTCTAATATCCCATTGCACTTTTTTTTCTGAGATGGAGTCTCACTCTGCCGCCCAGCCTGGAGTGCAGCGGTATGACCTTGGCTCACTGCAGCCTCCACCTCCCAGATTCAAACTATTCTCATGCCTCCGCCACCTGAGTAGCTGGGATTACAGGCACATGCCACCATGCCCGGCTAATTTTTATATGTTTAGTAAAGATGGGATTTTGCCATGTTGGCCAGGCTGGTCTCAAACTCCTGGCCTCAAGTGATCAGCCTGCCTCAGCCTCCCAAAGTGCTGGGATTATGGGCATGAACCACTGTGCCCAGCCTCCATTGCATGTTTGTAGCATATTTTGTTCATCCATTCATCTGTTGATGGATATGTGGGTCGTCTCCACCTCTTGGCTATTGAGAATCCTGCTGCTAATCGATGTGGGTGTGTAAATATCTCTTCAAGACCCTGCTTTCAATTCCTTTGAATATATACTCAGGGTAGAATTGCTGGATCATGCAGTCATTCTAAGTTTTTGAGGAACCACCGTACTGATTCCCATAGCAGCTATACCATTTTACATTCCCAGCAAAAGTGCAAAAAGGCTCCAACTCTCCACGTCTTCACCAACACTTGTTATTTTTTGTTTTTTGATCTAGCCATCCTAATGGGTTCAAGGCAATATCTCCTTTGATTTGCACTTCTCTAATGGGATTATAATTTGTATTTGCTAATGGTAAGTAATGTTGAGCATCTTCTCTTTTTTTTAAATGTTTATTTTAGGTTCAGGGGTACGCCTGCAGGTTTGTTATACAGGTAAACTTGTGCCACGGGGGTTTGTTGTACAGATTATTTCATCACCCAGGTACTAAGCCTGGTACCTAATAGTTATTTTTTTCTGATCTTCTCTCTACTGTCACCCTCCACCCTCTGACAGGCCCCAGTGTGTGTTGTTCCCCTCTTTGAGTCCATGTGTTCTCATAATTTAGCTCCCACTTATAAGTGAGAACATGCCACATTTGGTTTTCTGTTTCTGTGTTAGTTTGCTAAGGATAATGGCCTCCAGCTCCATCCACGTTTCTGCAAAAGTCCTGGTCTCATGCATTTTTGTGTCTGCATAGTATTCCATGGTGCATATGTACCACATTTTCTTTTTTTTTTCTTTTTTTTTTTTTGAGATGGAGTCTCACTCTGTCACCCAGGCTGGAGTGCCTGGAGTGCACCATCTCAGCTCACTGCAAGCTCCGCCTCCTGGGTTCATGCCATTCTCCTGCCTCAGCCTCCTGAGTAGCTGGGACTACAGGTGCCTGCCACCACACCCGGCTAATATTTTGTATTTTTAGTAGAGACGGGGTTTCACCATGTTAACCAGGATGGTCTCGATCTCCTGACCTTGTGATCCGCCTGCCTCGGCCTCCCAAAGTGCTGGGATTACAGGTGTGAGCCACCACGCCCAGCCCACATTTTCTTTATCTATCTACCACTGATGGACATTTAGGTTGATTCCATGTCTTTGCTATTGCAAATAGTGCTGCAGTGAACACACACGTGCGTGTGTCTTTATGATAGAACGATTTCTATTCCTTCGGTTATGTACCCAGTAATGGGATTCCTGGGTCGAATGGTAGCTCTGTTTTTAGCTCTTTGAGGAATCACCATACTGCTTTCCACAATGGTTGAACTGGTTTACACTCCTACCAACAGTGTATAAGCATTCCATTTTCTCCACAACCTTGCCAGCATCTGTTATTCTTTGGCTTTTCAGTAATAGCCATTCGGACTGGTGTGAGACTGTATCTCATTGTGGTTTTGATTTGCATTTCTCTAATGATCACTGATAGTGAACTTTTTTTCATATGCTTGTTGGCTATCTGTATATCTTCTTTGAGGAAATGTCTACTCAAGTCTTTTGTTCATTTTCTAATTTTTTTTGTGGTTGTTGAGCTTATATAGCTATTTATAGTTTTTCAAGTGTATTATAAAGTGTTTCAGATATACACAAATATAAAAATAACTTTTTATACATGTTTTATATACCTGTATATTCCTAAAAACATGTATTCTGCATACAGCATGTTTTACTAGTTATAAAACACAATATAAATCACTGTTTATATTCTCCTGCAACTCCAGTGATCGTGCCTCCAAGATTCAGGCTCAGTGCGTGCAGTCTCCATTCATTCATTCTCACTGTCTGCAACAGCAGGGCTCAAACCTGTTAGTCTTTTTTTTTTTTTTTTGTCTTTCTAGACAGAGTCTTGCTCTGTTGCCCAGGCTGGAGTGCAGTGGTGTAATCACAGCTCACTGCGGCCTCCACCTCTTGGGTTCAAGTGATCCTCCCCTTCAGTGTCCCAACTAGTTACACTGCAGGCATGCACCACCACACCCAGCTAGTTTCTTTTTTATTTTTTGTAGACACAGGGTCTCACTAGGTTGCTCAGGCCAGTCTCAAACTCCTGACCTCAAGTGATCCTCCTGCCTTGGCCTCCCAAAGTGCTGGGATCACAGGTGTGAGTCGCTGCACCCAACCAAACTTTTTACTCTAAGAATTATTTTATTCTCTTAAAAATTGTGAGAAAAACAAAGAGCTTTGGTTTATAGGGATTATATCTGTCAATATTTACCACATCAGAAAATAAGAAGGAGAAAAATTAAAATTTTTTTTTAATTAAAAATAATGAAAACCTATCATGTAATACGTGAAGACAACATATTTTATGATAAATAATTATGTTTTTCAAAGCAAAAAACATTGAAAAAAAGTGGCACTGTTTGACACTTTTGTGATCTCTTTAATGTCTGGTTTAATAGAAGACAGTTTCTGCGTTTAGCCTGTGGCTATCAGAACATGCAGTCTCTGGAAAACTTCAAGGTACAGAATGAGAGTGAAAAGGAAAAATAGACCTCAGTAATACTGTGAAATCAGTTTTGACTTTGCAAACTCCCTGAAAAGGTTTTAATGATCTCCTGGACCACACTTTGAGAACCACTGCTGCAGATTCCATCGGAATAGACATACGAGGCAGGCAGATCGCTTGAGCTCAGGACTTTGAGACCAGCCTGGGCAACATAGCAAAATCCTGCCTCTACTAAAAATACAAAAATTAGCTGGGCATGGTAGTGTGTTCCTGTGGCCCCAGGTACTCAGGAGGCTGAGGTGGGAGGATCACCTGAGCCCTGGAGGTGGAGGTTGCAGAGAGCCGAGATAGTGCCACTGCACTCCAGCCTGGGTGACAGAGCAAGACCCTGTCTCAAAAAAAAAAAAAAAAAAAAAAAAAAAACAAACAAACAAAAGAAGAAGAAGAAGAAAGAAATATGCTATCCATCTTTTCTTCTATTGATGTTTCATCTTTTCCTTTTTTTCCTTCTTCTTCCTTCCTCCTCCTTCTCCTCCACTTTCTTATAACTCATGCTGCTGTGAACATCCTTGTAGATACCTCCTTGGGAACATATTTGAGAGTTTCGATAGAATACATGCAAAGCAATAGACCTACAAAGTTGCGGTATGCACATATCTTCAACTTTGGCAGTTACTTCCAAATTTCTTACCAAACTTTAAAATCTATAAATGTGTCACTAAATTATTTCTGAGCACCTAAAACTTTAGTCAAGGTTATCCCTGGGAGGCAGGACCTGAAATGTGACTATAATTTTATACATTAAAATATAATTGATAGTACAGAATTATATTTGGTATGGAGAAAGGTCTCTAGAACAAAAAAGTGCAGTGGAAACAGTAAAAAAAAACAGAGTGTCGCAGACATCAAGTCTCGGAGCACTCATTCAAGTAGTAGTTCAAGTAGGGAAGAAAGACTAATTCACCTGTTTGCTGAATTCAGCTGTGTGACCTTAGGCAAGTTACTTTACCTCTCTGGGTCTAATGTTCTCATCTGTAAAGTGCTGCTATTTCGTGATTCTAGGAATTGAAACCCACGACCGTCAGGAAGATTATAGTCTCCTTGGGATACAGGACTCATATACAAAGCAACCAAGGCCAGTTGGTACCAAAGTCCATGCAACGTTGCAGAAGGAACTGCAACTCCGAAGAGAGAGAACTCTCCAGCAGTAGTTTCAGGAGAAAAATGGGGGTCCAAACTGGGAATTAAAGTGTGGTTGGAACTGAATTAGGGGAGATATGTTTGGGGAAGTGAGACAATATGAGAACAGTTTTCCTTTCTATTACTTTGATTTGGCAATATTTAGAGGGTGTTAGCTTAGTTTCAGGGCCTGGGGAAATGCTGTGGCCTCTGGCATTTTCTGTCTACAGCTGGAAATGTAAAAGGCATCTGTAAGCCACATCCACTACATCCACTGTAGAAAGAGGCACGGCTCACTCATCGCCACCTCAGGAACTCTGTCAACTCTTGTGGGGGCTTTACAGAAAATGAAAATGGAAATTGTGTTAGGAAAATGATCCCAATATCAGACATTTCTTTCAATAAGTCTTTTATTAGAATTTACTTTCATTGGGAAGATAATTCATTTCCATTAAAAATTACTAAGTCTACAAAGAATCTAAAACAGAACTACCATTTGAACCTGCAATTCCATCACTGGGTATATATCCAAAAGAAAATAAATCACCCTACCAAAAAGACACACGCATATCTATGTTCGTGGCAACACCATTAACAACAGCAAAGACATGGAGTCAACCTAGATGCTCATAAGGAAAATGTAGTACATAGACACCATGGAACACTATACAGCCACAAAAAAGAATGGAATCATGTCCTTTGCAGCAACATGATTGCAGCTAGAGGCTATGATCCTAAGTGGTGAATGCAGGAACAGATAATCAAATAATGCATATTCTCACTTAGAAGTGGGAGCTAAATATTGGGTACTCATGGACATAAAGATGGCAACGATAGATACTGGGGACAAGTAAAGGTGGGAGGGGGGGGGTCTAGGGTTGAAAAACTAACTATTGGGTACTATGCTCAGTTCCTGGGTGATGGGATCAATCGCACCCTAAACCTCAGTATCATGTAATATACTCCCTGTATCTAAAATAAAAGTTAAAAAAAAAAAAGATCTAATGCTATAGTGACACATGTAAACCTCCTCGAGAAGGATCTGTTCATGTCACCCATAATAGACATTAACACAGACTGGTTATTTGTATACATAACAGGAAAAACCACTTATCTTCCTAAATGATGCGTACACAAACTACTGTGGGAACTTCTATTTCAGACAACAGACATTCAGTGAATAATGCAATCCTCTGGAAGAGAACACTAAACAGAAACAGATTCACAATTCTGTGCTATCATTTGGATGGGGGAAAAAAGACATTCATTGTTGTGTATGCGTATGATAAAGAAAATATTTAATTCAAAGTAGGATTTAGAGAGGTTCAAAGCTTCAGCTGATTTGAATCACTTTAAGGGTAAAGCATTATATCAATTTCATAGCATTGTATTAATAATAAGGTTTTATAAATGGATACCACATGGTGGATTTAAAAAAAAACAGGGTATGGGCCAGGTGGGCACGGTAGCTCACATCTGTAATCCCAGAACTTTGGGAGGCAAAGGTGGGCAGATCACTTGAGATCAGGAGTTCAAGTCTAGCCTAACTAACATGGCAAAACCACGTCTCTACTAAAAAAACAAAAATTAGCTGGGGTGGTGGTGGATGCCTGTAATCTCAACTACTGGGGAAGCTGATGCAGGAGAATCGCTTGAAACCGGGAGGCAGAGGTTGCAGTGAGCTGAGATCGTGCCACTGCACTGAAGCCTGGGTAACAGAGCGAGACTCTGCCTCAAAAAACCAACAAACAACAACAACAACAAAACCAGGATATGGTTTAGGAATGACCTCTTCATTTACAGAGTGTTATACAGCAGAAGAATAACTTATTCCTTTTTCTTATCCCATGATTAATGCTTTAAAAGCAACAAATAGGTTAGCATGAGGGCTCATGCCTGTAATCCCAGCACTTTGGGAGGCTGAGATAGGAGGATCACTTGAGGCCAGGGGTTAGAGACCAGCCTGGGCAACATAGCAAAACTCACATCTCTACAAAAAATTTAAGAAACCAGCTGGGTGCAGTGGCATACGCTTGTAGTCCTAGCTACTCAAGAGGGTAAGGTGGGAGGAATGTTTGAGCCCAGGAGTTAGAGGCTACAGTGAGCTGTAATTGCACCACTGCACTCCAGCCTGAGCAACAAAGCAAGACCCTGTCTTGGGAAAAAAAAAAAAAAAAAAAAAGCAACACTTAATATGAGCTACCTGGAAGAGGCAAATTCATAGAGACAAAGAGTAGAAGGGGGTGGCCTGGGACTGAAAGGAGAGGGAAATGGAGAGTTACTGCTTACTGGGTACAGAGCTTCTGCTTGGGTCATGAAAACGTTCTGGAAACAGTCATGAATCTAATTAATGCCACTGCACTTTACACTTAAAGTGGTTAAAATTGTAAATTTTATGTTTATTTTCACTACAATAAAAAACAATGAATTATGTAAGCATTTGATTTATTGCTGAATTTGCCAACAATCTTGGCTTTATTTTTGATCTTATTCCTGGCCTGTTTATTTTCCAATTTCCTAAACGGGCTGTCCCACACTTGTTCCCCTTATGTCTCCAAAACCATGACTCTGCCTTCTCCACCTCGGCAGATGAGCTTGTTAATTTTAAGGAAAAACTGGAAGCCGCAAGACATAAATGGCTCAACTTCCTTCGCTCTGGTTCAACTTATCCCAGTCTCCATCTAGTTCTTCCCTGAATGCCTCATGCATACATGATCCTAACCCTGTACACACTCTTGGAATTGTTCTTTTCTTTAACCCCTTGCCATTCTTGTGATTTCTGCCTGTCTCCCACTCCCGCTTATAAACACCCTCCGGTTTTGCAACCTCTAACAACTTCTGCCGTGGCTTCTCCCGCTGCTATGGCCTTACCTCCCTTCCTTCACCAACCAGCTTCCTGAACCATCTTTGCTTCCTCCCCTTCCATTCGCTTCTCTGCCCTCTGCCATATGGATTCCTCCAGCCAGCACTCTGTGGATCTATCTTGCTCCCTGCAAGAGCGCTGATGACTTGGTCATTTCCAGACCCTGCGGCTGGAAATGGTCTTCCTCCTCAACCAGAGACCTTCTTCCTTTTGTTCCAGAGACCTTTCTCTATACCAAATGTAACTCTGTACTATCAATTGTATTTTAATTCAATTTCTTGGTCTTCCTCCTTGACACTGCACAGGACACTGTCGACTCCCTTCTTCTCTCCTGCTCTCCTTCCCTCTCAGCTCACTCTTCAGCTTATTCTGTTGGTTTCACTTCTTTACCTAACTATTTTGGAATACATTTTGACTTTCCTCCCCCTTTTTTTTAAACCAACATTTCTGGTCAATCTCATCTATTTTGATGGCTCCTATGACCCTCTACCTAGTAGTAGCCTCAAAAAGAATATCTTTCTTGAACTATACATTCACTTTCTTCGGTCCCCTGTATTCAACTCCATATTGGACCTTTCCAGGTGATGTTCCACCAGCCCCTCAAACACAACTGAAACAAACATGAATTCTACTTTTTCCAGTGTCTGTACCTCTCCTCTCTGTCCTGTCTTGATCAATGGAATTACCACTTACTGAGTCTTCCAAGCTAGAAATATTGGAACCAGCTGAGTTCTCCTTCATCTTCATCTCCTCCAACCATCTACGCAACAAGTCCCATGGATTTTTCTGGTTATTTTTGTTGCATTTCATCACTGCTCTTCAGTCTTTTAGCTCTGGAACTTCAGACATTTTCTCTTAATAATTTCATGATTCCAATAGATGTTTAATTACTTATCCCCTTGCTCTTTCACGCTGCCTTTTCCACCCCTACACGGGCCATGTGAGCTGTCTTTTAAAAAAATCTCTTCCTTGCTTTGAAACATGAAGCAGATTCTCTTTGTCTGAACTATAAAGTCCAGACTCATGACCCACACAACCTCTTTATTACAGATCAACTTCAAAATTTTAAGGGGATTCCATTATGGCTAAAGATATATATTAAACAAGGCATTTTAAAAAGATGTTTTGGTTTCTTAAAATGGATCCTTCTGAATAGCCTTGAAATTGTTCAAAAGAACTCTAAAGAAAACAATCTTCCCTTACACACTACTAAAGATGTAAACAGACATACAGTACTATTTTGTTTTTTTTAAAAAAGGCTTAGTAAACACAAAGAGGAGTTACATACTGAAACCCACAGCTGATTTAATTTGCAAAACCACAGCGTTAGCTTGACTAAAGTAAAGATGACACAGATAAAATGCAACCAGAAAACTGAGATAAAAGATACAGGATAAATAACTTAAGCTGATGGTTTAGCAAGCAAACATCATGGGTGTAACATGAAGATCTGAGAAGTGACTTCGGTCCAGGAAACTCACTCCACAGAGTCCCTAGGAGCAGCAGGTTTTTAGGAGAATCACAGCATGCTGGAATATCGTCATCTATTCTTGCACTTGTGAGGAGGTGGTCACCGTGATGCAGGAAGAGAAATAAGATTTTAAAGTTGAAGTTGAGGGGTCTAATTTCTTATTTTACTATTTTTATCTCTATGTTAGGAAGATTTGGGGAAAATTCTCAGAGACAGTCTTTATCCTTAGGGTGTAAGAGAAGGGGGCGACGAGAAACTTCATTCAGAGCTGAACTAGGGCTATTGATTCTCCGGTGAGACATTTAGAGAGTCCCAAGTGCATGGTCACGCGCAGAGAGGCAGGTCCCGTCAGCGGTGACATGTGCTGCCGTTAAAAGCAGGGCAGAAGGTGAGAGCTTGGGCCTGGGCTGCATGAGTGGGAATTAATCAGGCAATTCTTGGGGTTCTTTCTACTCATTGGCCTATCTGCTAACATTTCAGCAATAGGCAATAAAAAGTTAAGGTTTAAAAAGAAAAGTTACGTATCCTCATTAGGAACATAAATGACCACAGTCAGATACCTTATACTACGCTCACTAGGAAGAAATATTCATTAGTCACCAACTAGGTGCCAGGAAAAGAACTGGCAAAGGAACTTCTGGGTAATAAAAGAGCCCTGGTCCCAGCCCTTGAGGACTGGGGCAGATAAGAGCTGTGCATTGTTTGGGCCAGGGAAGGAGGGACATGCCTTTTTCTAGATCATCTAGTGACTCCTTTGTAATTTTTTTTCTTTTGAGATAGTCTCGCTCTGCCACCCAGGCTGGAGTGCAGTGGCAGTTTCGGCTCACTGCAATTTCCACCTCCTGGGTTCAAGAGATTCTCCTGCCTCAGCCTCCTGAGTAGCTGGGACTACAGGCATCCACCACCACACCCAGCTAATTTTTATATTTTTAGTAGAGATGGGATTTCGCCAAGTTGGCCAGGATGGTCTCGAACTCCTGACCTCAGGTGATCTGCCTGCCTCGGCCTCCCAAAGTGCTGAGATTACAGGTGTGAGCCACCGTGCCTGGCCTGTATCTTTTTCTGTTAACCATGATTTTGTGGCAGCAAGTACAATATCAGATATTTTTCTTCACTCTCCATCAAAAAAGGAAACATTTAATAATCTAAAAACAGGCCAGGTTCTAGAAATTCTCTTTACCTCTTCACCGTCTTTGTTTTATTGTTCTTTGAGTTTTGTGTGTGTGTGTTTGTTTTTATTGATACATCATATTTTGCATATTTATGGGGCACATGTGGTATTTCGTTACGTACACAGAATGTGTAGTGGTCAAGTCACTGTATTTGAGGTGCCTGACTTTACCTTATTTGTGTGTTATTTACTTAGCTATTGTCTTTCTACTCCAAAAAAAAGTAGGCATAGGCTTGACGAGGGTCAGTACCTTTCTCCTTCTCTTCTCCCCTGTATTTTAAACGCCCAGAAAAAGCCCTGACATGTTAGGTGTTTGATCAGTCAACATTTAGTGACTGAATAAAACCCAGCTTTCCCCTTCTCCTTGAAAATATCCATTTTCTCTTTGTTACTGCCTAAGCCACCCTAATGGGTGAAGGGAATCTCAGCAGTGCTTGCATTTTTAAGAGGATCTGTGTCCCCTAAGATCCTAGCTGACAGCATTTCAGGTGCTGGATAGAATAAGGTGTAGGGAGAACTTTCTGGAGTATTTTGAGACTAGGTGAGGAGCGGCGTGCTACAGGCAGTCATCCTTGATTTGCTGGGAAGCCTACTGGAAGGAGAAAGAAACCCCTCTGTGCTGTTTTTGGTTTTCACAGCTTCTTCTTCCCCTCCATGACTGAATCTAAAAACCTTCTGCAAACACTGGCTGGGAGGCAGCGCATCATGGAACCATCAGGACAAAATGAACCCGTAGAAAGTGTGGCGACTTTGTCTCCGCCCCTGAGATAGTGTTTCACGGATATGCTGCACTTCGTGGCTATTCTAATTTTTCTCCGTATTCATTTTCAGGCCTAATGCTTACATACTCAGTGAATTGTTCAGCCTCTGAAAATGTGTCTATTTGGTCAAATATAAATAATCCATTTTATTTTCTATTTTAGAAACCAAGCCAAAACAAAGTATAGGTTTCTTGAAATTTTAAAAATTATTCTTTTGAGGCCAGGCGCGGTGTCTCATGTCTGTAATCCCAGCGCTTTGGGAGGCCGAGGCGGGTGGATCACGAGGTCAGGACATCAAGACCATCCTGGCTAACACAGTGAAACCCCATCTTCACTAAAAATACAAAAAATTAGCCAGGCGTGGTGGTGGGCACCTGTAGACCCAGCTACTCAGGAGGCTGAGGCAGGAGAACGGCATAAGCCTGGGAGGTGGAGTTTGCAGTGAGCCGAGATTGCACCACTGCACTCCAGCCTGGGCGACAGAGGGAGACTCCATTTCAAAAAAAAAAAAAAATTTATTCTTTTCAAATTGCTGACTAAAAAATTCTTCCTTGAGGCTGGGTGCTCATACCTGTAATCCCAGCACTCTGGGAGGCCAAGACAGGCAGATTGCTTGAGTCCAAGGGTTTGAGGCTAGCCTGGGCAACACAGCGAAACTGTGTCTCTACTAAAAATACAAAAAGTTAGCTGGGTGTGGTGGTGTGCACCTGTAATCCTAGCTACTCAGGAGGCTGAGGTGGGAGGATCACCTGAGCCTGGGAGGTGCAGCCTACATTGAGCTGAGATTGTGCTGTACTCCAGCCTGGACCACCAGAGTGAGACCCTGTCTCAAAAAAAAAAAAAAAAAAAAAAAAAAAGAAACAAGAAAAAAAGAAATGTTTCCTTGAATAAGGGTATCTTTTTGAACTTTTTGGAATCTTGTGCTTCAGGACCCTGTCAAATATTACTAAACAATACATATCTGAGACAATCAGAAATTTGACGTGAACCTACAATTGATTTACATACACAGAAACACACTGACTCAAAAGTCAATTAAAAAGTTACAAAGGCCTATGCCAAAAAATAATTTATGTAGATCTCACAGTATGACAGAATAGATTACTTTTTTAAATTCTCAGAACGGCTCCATAAAGTTGAAGTTCAAACCTCCAAGTTATGACTCAAGAATGTTAATCTGGCCACCATTCTCGCTGGTTTTTAATTAAACAAACTTTCTTCTTAACAGCTCTTTGCAAGTGACAGTCGTCAGTACGTATGTGTGTGGGTGTGGGCATGTATGTTGATATGATAGAACTTGCTGTTTTTAATGTGTTTAGCATGTTATTAAACACAGCATGAAAGAGTTGAGGAAAGCAGGAAGAAGGGAGGAGAGTTCAAGCAAAAAGTAAAGGGAGTTGGAGATCTGAGGTGAATAAAAGTCTGAAAAAGCAGATTAGGATTCTAAAATAAGCTTTTAAGGTTTACTTAAAATATAGTTTAAAATTTACAACATTGTCAGTTCAAAATAATGCTGGTAGGAAGGAAATACATTGAGCCACGGACCTGGCATCTGGAGATACCGGAAAGGAAAGAGAGAGGGATTGAGGTGGACGCTCGTGGGTAAGGAAGAACGAAGGAGAAGCCCACTCAGGCTTGTCTATGAACTCATCTGTGTGGTTCTCCTGCAGGGCAGCCTCATAAATGCCCCGGTCAGTGCTGGACCCCAAAGAAAACCACTGTGGCCATCTCCTGTCTCCCTCACAAGTTTTCCCTGAAAAGACAACAACTTCCGGAGTTCCATGCGGTTTTTCAGCCTTTTCCAAATCTCTCTAAACACCAGGAGGAATGTTCACATGCTTCAGCAGAGAGACGCACGCTTCAGGGCCCAGCAGAGAATGCCTGGAGAAGAACCCAGCCAAGCCGACTGGATCTTAGCAGAGCTCCCGGCTTGATGATTATGCTCAACCAGAGTGAGTGTTCTCTCCATTACTAACATAAGTAATACATTGGACAGCAAAACAAGGAAATAGCCCCAAACAGTAATTGAGATATAAAGGGAGAAGGAAGTCTCAAAACCCACTTCTCAGAATTAACTCCAATGTCAGGTAGTATTTTTAAACATAAGTCAGTAGATAAGGTATAGTCCCAAAATCAGGCTTTGCTACATGGAGTATTAAGAACACAGATCATGGCATCAAACTGCTTGAGTTCAAATTCCAGTTCTGCTGTATGGTAGCTCTGTGGCTTTAAACAAGCTATTTAACCTCACTTTTCTTATCTGAAAAATGAGGATCATAATAGGATTAAATGGGTTAATGGATGCAAAGTGATTAGAACAGTTACTAGTAGACAGAAAAAGCTCAGTCTATGTTAGCTATAATTATTATATACTCAGAGTCAAAAGAACACTCATCATGTTTTCTTCCAAGATTTAGCACTAAAATATTTTCTGTAGTGATTACTTTTTAGTTTTTTTGTTGAAAAAAGGCTATGGATTCTTTCAAGGTGGGCTTCCTTGGTTGGCTCTCAGCTGCCACCTCCCCTCCCCCAACAAAACAATAGCCCCTGTCCCTTGTCAACTAGATCCCAGCGCACAGTTTCACTTTAAAGGCATGCAATCACTTTGGCTCAAGAGTGAAGATATTCAGTCGAAAGTGAAGTAAGTGACAGCTAGGATTTCAGAGCGTAAGTCTCACAGTTCCAAGAGTCCCGGAAGCAGCAACCTCACTTTGCCCAGTGCCTCTCCTCCTCTTCTCGGTGACAGGGAGGTCTACTGCATGCCTACTATGACTGAGCTCTACTGCATGTCTGGAGGTGCGTGGGTGGGATTCTGGGTGCCCTGCCTTCTGAGTCCAGGTCAGGGCTCTCCCCATGGGGACAGGTCTCCATGGCCCGTCCTGATGTTGGGCCATCTCTCCTACCTTGTCACTGCCTCTTCCCTATAAGCCCCTCACCATGACACATGCCTCGATTTCTCTTACATCGAATCAGATTTTCTGCTTTACTTTCTATGCTTGTTCGCGTCTCTTGACTACCTAGAGTGCTCTCAGCCTCCAATTGCAGTCTAAGCCCACCGCTTTGTTCCTCCTCTTCCTGCCTCCCCAGGCTCCAACTCTCCATGGGATCACACCGCCTTCTTCCTGTACAGGGTTTTCTGGTCTTTTCCCTCCGACACTCCTCCACTCTGTCATTTACCTATACTGAGCTGACATTCCACCAAAATTTACTGAGCACTTGCTATGTGTGGGACTCTCTGCTCAAGCCGAGGGCTAGGGGCTAGACAGACAAAGAGATGCAGAGCCTGCCCTTGGGAGCTCACAGTGCAGTTGGGGAGGGAGGAAGGGTGTGTTAGTGCTGCTGAGCTGTCCATGTGCACAGCATGCCAGGGCACGCAGAGGAGGGACACCTTGACACAGCCCGTGGGGGCCTTTGCAGAGGAGGTGAGGTCTCAGGGGTTAGCAAAGTAACGATGTGAGCGTGAGGAAGTGCACTCAGGCCTGGGATCAGGTGCAGAGCTGTAAAATGCAAGAGGCTTCTGGGGAGCTACGAGGTGCTCAAGGACCCAAGGGAAACCTGAGTCTGGCAGGCAGGGCACAGGCTGGGAAGAACTCACGGGCCCCGCAAAGATTCGGGATTCTATTTTGCAGGTGATATGGAGTAACCAAAGAGCTTTGCAGGGGAGTGCAGCAATCATTTTCGTTTCAGCAAGATCCTCTACCGCACATCTTCAGCGGTGTGAAGAGCGAGACTAGAGGCTCAATCTCGGAAACTAAACGAGGTCCTCTGTAGGAAATATTATGGTATAAATGGCTGCAATACTATTGCTCGATGGCGTTTTCAAAGGCAGCTGCTGCAGCCTATCCCTTTCCCTCCCACCTGTCCTTCTGCGATGCCACTGTACTGCTCGCCCAGAAGTGCCCTCTGCTGCCCCTCCTTGATCTTGCCTGGCCCGTGACCTGTTTTTCACCCAAAGACCAAAGCAGCAGGAACTTCCTACTTTGGGGCCACATATGGAGGAAGACGGGGTGGGGGAATCTCAACCTCCTAGCTGCATCCACCCAGGGGCCATATAAGGGAGTGACCTCATCTCAGGTCTGACTGCAACCTTATGAGAGGGCCCTAGGGATGCTCTGAAGACCAAAACCGCCAAGCCAAGGCTGACCCAAATCCCTAGCCCACAGAATCAAGAACAAATACAATGGTGCTGTTTTTTTAAGCCACTAAGTTTGGGAGCAGTTTGTTCCATAGCAATTGATATCTTCAAAGCAATGCTCTGGGTCAAATAAACAATGTCAAATAAAGAATAAACTCCCCGCTGACAATTTCAGGACAATAGCATGGGTCCACTGTCAATATATACCCACTTGTACTTCATCCTTAATTACTTGCTACCAAATCCCATTTCAAGCCTTTGTCACACTTAACTGATTAGGGCTTAAGCTTTTTAAAAAGCGGTTTTCAGAAAATGTAATCCTCTGACTCTATCTTGCAAAAGACTAAGAAAATGTGGCATGTGGATTAAAATTCCCTGGAGTTTCGTTTGAATTTTCCTATGGGTAGTGTTTAGATGAACATTCAAGCAAATATACGTTTCACTTTTTGAAACTGCAGAATGTTTGATGCTTCTTTATAATGCGCCTTCTTAGCAGCATGGCTGGGTGTCTTGAGATAGCACAGTACTTGAATAAATAGTGTGATCTCTCTTTATGTTTACATATTTAGACCCATAGGTCTAGTCTATTTTTTCCATGAGAAAATATCTATAGTATTTTCCTGGAGAAAAGTGACTTTATTTTATTTCAATAGATACATATGCTCTCTGTTCTGAGTACTTCAAGGCTGTTCTCTCAAGAGAAGGGGTTTGCTTGCTGGTTTTCTTCTCTATGAAAATAATAAAATTCAAACATGATGCTATGTGTTAACATTTTCCTCTGCGAGCTCTAGCTATGGGAAGTTGCTAATGGTTGAGTTTTACTTTATTCATTTCTAAAAGGAAGTGCTCATTTATGCTTAGCAATGTTCGCCTTTTTTTTGGTGAAAGAAATTGCATTTATTTTATTTTAAAAAGAAACAAAAAGCCCTTTCTTCTTGTGATGCTTTTCTCTCCTAAAGCACTTTTAGTCGCAGATCTCAAGTGTACTACAAATATTAACAAATCTCCTTGTCCAGGAACTAGGGAAGAATCCCGGGAGGAAAGTCCTTTTCATTGCAATGGCAAATATTTCAGCTGCCTCTGCTTCAGAACTTGGAATTATGCAAGTTACTTCCCACTGAATTACGTTCCTCAAAAGTAATTGCAAAACCACAATTACTTTTGCAAACTAATATTTACAAAGTAGAGTAATTCACGTTCTTCCTATGCAAGAGTTATTTATGGCTACTGTTCATAGTACCCCTCTAAATAGGTCCCCAGTAAAATGTATGCTAATTTATTTTTATTGAATGACTAATGCAGATGAATTAAAGAGTTCCCATTCTTAGAGGGAGATTTCCTCTATTATTCACCATTACCTTATATTCCAGAAACATAGCCCACTGAGGAAATCCACTTGACCTTTTCAGAGAAACTTGGTTATCATAACCTTCCTTGTGTTACCATCCCCACTAACACTGTAGAACGAATCATGTTTTGCTGTTGCTACGGTATTAAATTTTAATTCCTCCTGTCCATAGCAAAGCTAATTGTAGCTGAATGACTCCCATGTTTGTGGGACTGCACTTCGGTTTATTGGTGAAGGGTTATACATGCCACCAGTGGTTGCATTCTCTGACCTACACTGGCTGTTCTGCAGTGGTTATGACAGGACACATTAACTACAGCCCTAGGAGCTTGAAATGTATCCACTTCTTTCCCACTCCAGCTGTCCAGGTGAAATCCTGGTCTGGATGCGAAAAGGACCCCTCAAAACAGCTACAAAATATTCGAATCAGGGGGAATCCTAGACATCCCCCTAATGCACTCAACCTTGTCTCCCAATTCCCACTTCTGGGATTTTTCAGTCCGACTTCACTGTTGGGTGGGTCTGGAAGGTGAGCATGACCCTGGCAGAGCAGGACTAGGTAGGGTGAATGACACAACGAGATTCAGTGGCCTCTCTCCAGTCTTTTCTCCTACAAGGGACAACCTCATGGGTTCCTAATATCCTTGTGTGCCAGCGACCACCTGTCCTCGATTACTGCAAGAAAACAGAAGAACAGAAAGATGGAGAGAACTCAGGAGGGGAGGAACACACTGATGACCAAGCAGACGACACTGGCCAGGAAGAAGTCAGTGCACCCAAGGGTTTCTAGGGAGCTGGCCCGGAACACTTCTCAGTCAGATCCCCTAAAACTCACCTTTAGATATGGACCCAAATCGGAGTGCTTAGGGCTCTCAATATTAATGATTAGGGCCTAAAATATGATATGAACGTTTGGAAACCTTCATATTGGTAACTGGAGGGAAATAAAATATATTCCCTGGCTACAGGAGGCCTCATGAACCTCCTCAATCCAAGGTTCCGTCTGAGCTCTGTGCTGAGAGTTAAAGAGAGAAAGAGAAAGAGAAGACTCGGTACATGCTCTCAGGCTTACTCAAGAGACAATAATTGCATTAAAATGTCATTAGGGAGCTCCACTAATGAGAAGGATAGAAGCCTCAAGCTCCCAGAGACACAGGAAGCAGAAAGTCAGTCCACACATCAGAGGCGACTTGGAAAAGCTCTAACACAATAGGACACTTAAAAAAATGCCAATTATATAGTAGGGGCAAATAGTGTTTCATGAACAGGACATAGGGATTCTGTTTGAGAAGAGGCCTCCATGAACAAAGACAGGGATATGCTTGGCCCTAAAGGGCCCACCATATCTTCCCATTTCTGAAAGGATAGCAGAACACACGGATGGAGATGCAATTTGGGGCCAGAATGCACAAGGTGCCAAGTCTTGCACAGTAAGACGCGTCACCCGAATTCTGCAGACAAAGATGAGTGTAGCTCTCTTCTCTACCCTTATCTGACCCTGTGCTTACATTCCTCAGGAGGGAAATGTCCCAGTGTTTTCCCTCTATGACATCCCTGAGGTCACCAAGGCCTTCTGGGGTACAAGCTGGAAACCTCAGCACTGGCTTTAACATTGTTTTAGCTGGGGTTTAGCTGTTGTTAGAAACCCATACATGTGAGTGCCCATTTTATTTTATTGCTGCTGGGATTTATTTCTAATCTTCTTTGAAAGATTATGTTTTTCTTTGGTTTCATAATGTTGGTTTATTCTACTTTTAAGTGAGTCCCTTAAATAGTTTACTACTCTTTCCTTTTAAGATAAACATTCTTTTTTTTGTGAATGCTTTCATTTATTTTGTTTTGGGCATACCTCTATCATCCTAATTCTTGAATTTAGTCTTTTACCTTTCTTACTCGTATCTATTTTAGTACATTTAAAAGTGATTATAGGCTGGGCGTGGTGGCTCTCGCCTGTAATCCCAGCACTTTGGTGGTGGCGCAGGGGGTTGGGAGATCATTTGAGGTCAGGAGTTGGAGACCAGCCTGGCCAACATGATGAAAACATGTCTCTGCTAAAAATACAAAAGTTATCCAGGCATGGTGCTGTGAGCCTGTAGTCTCAGCTACTCAGGTGAGGCGAAGGGCGGAGGTTGCAGTGAGCTGTGACCACGCCACTGCATTCCAGCCTGGGTGACAGAGCGAGACTCTTGTCTCCAAAAAAGAAAAAAACAAAACAAAACAAAAACAAAAACAAAAATCCCCCCAAAACTAACAAAAAAAATTATGATTTTGTTTTGAAGAAGACTTAAAATATCTTTTCATTTAATTTAAACAAAATTTTATCTTTTATCCTTTACTATTTTTTCTTTATTAAAATCACTTATGAATTTTTGCTATGTCTACATTTTATGTTTACCTGTTGCCTCATTCTTTTGCTTATAGAATATTTTTGAATATTTTAATATTATCTTTTATTTCCTGATCACTCTTAGCTTAACCTTTTTTTTTTTTTTTGAGATGGAGCCTTGCTCTGTCTCCCAGGCTGGACTGCAGTGGCGTGATCTTGGTTCACTGCAAGCTCCACCTCCCAGGTTCACGCAGTTCTCCTGCCTCAGCCTCCCGAGTAGTTGGGACTACAGGCACACACCACCATTCCTGGCTAATTTTTTTGTATTTTTAGTAGAGACGGGGTTTCACTGCATTAGCCAGGATGGTCTCAATCTCCTGACCTCGTGATCCGCCCACCTCGGCCTCCCAAAGTGCTGAGATAACAGGCGTGAGCCACCGCGCCCGGCCAGTTTAATCTTTTTTTTAATTATTGACATTACAGTGGTCCACAAAGCAGGATGCCAAGGGGATGATAAGGGGAAAAATCACACCATAGACAAGGGGAGATGGAGTCTTTGCAGCAAGTCACCTCCCGGAATTCTAAACATTTCCCACCCCCTTCAGCTCTGATTTCTGGTAGAATTTATCTAGATAACTCCAGAGGTCCACAGGCAAAATCTTCCAAGACAATAGTAATTCTGTTGTGCAGACATTTAAGTCACTAGATTGGGATTCTTTTCCTCTAACACTTAGCACACAGTACCTTGGGCATTACAGATTCTAAAATATATGACTCATTTATTTATCCCACTAATATTTACTGAGCACCTACTACGTGTCAGACACAATGCTGACTGCTAGAAGTGCAACAAAAAGAGTAAGAGAGAGTGTGGATCCAGTCCTCAGGGAGTGTACAATGTGGAAGAAAGCCAAGTCCTGATGTGGAGGATCAGGAAGAGCTTTCCAGAGGACAAGAGACATCTTGGGAGCTGAAGATGTACAGGAAGTAGCTCAGAGATTGAGCAGACGTCCACGAGATGAGGGGATGCTGGGACCTCCTAGGAGCTTAAAGAGGCTCAGACTTGGAGGAACCCGATGTGAGGGCTGGAGAGGAAAGGAGTAGAACCTTCGAATCCACATCAGGGAGGCTGGGCTTTATCCCGGGGGCACTGGGTAGCCTTTGGAGAACTTAAGAGCAGGGAGTGGCACACTGGGTTCCAGAAGGCAGCCCATGGTAACCACGGCTAGGGAGGAGGTTCCACACCAACCCAGAAGAGAAACGGTGCTGCCTGTAATTAGAGCAGAGGTGGTGGGAGTGTGACAGGCTGGAGGGAACACAGAGGAATTGGGGTGAGTGAATAAAATTGGTTTGGGGCAAGCTATGGAGATAGGGGAGACAGAATCAAGGAAAGACACACAGATTTCAGGTCGTGCAGCAGGTGATGTCTATGCCAGTTGCAGAAAAGAGCAGGAGGAGAAAACGTGTTGAAAGAGAAAGGGGAAGGTGGTGCATCCAGTTTGGGGCATGAGGCATTAGACGTGCCCAGGAACTTTCTGGGGAAGAATGGCAAGGATCTGGGGCAGTCATGACTGGGTCACAGTCAGCGAGGAGATAGGTATGGAGGCTGATGAGGGAAGAGGATGCTCACAGGGCGGGAAAATTGAGGAACATCAGTCATCCAGGTTGATAAAAGAAGAGGAGCTTGCAAAGGAGAAGAGAGGAAGGAAGGAAGGAAACATGGGCAGGGGGGTCATGGGAGACACAGAGGGACAATGTCCCAGGATGCATGTGTGCTCACGGCACATCTGGTTGCAGGAAGTCAGGTAAGAGGCGGGTAGAACTCCACGGGAATCGGCCATGAGGAGAGTGCGGGTGATCATTTCTGAGGGGTGCAAGAGGCAAGGCCAGGCATCTGTCGTTCAAGACATGTGGGGTGAGGAAGCAAAGGCAGCAAGTGTAGACAACAATTTGAGGAGTTTGATTGTGAAGAGAAGCAAGACAAGGAAGTAGCTGGAGGAAGGTATAAAAGGATATATATTCTTTTTTTCACAGAAGGAAGGGATTTAAGCGCACTTAATACAGAGAGAATGGGGCCAGAAATGAGGGAGAGAAGGAAAATGCAGGTGACAGGGAAGATAAGAGATTGAGATTCCCAAGAACAAGAAAGAAATGGATTCCAGGGCCCCAGGGGAGGTGAGCCTCAGACAGGAACTAAGGGGCTTCTTTTTTTTTTTTTTTTTCTAAGACAGACTCTTGCTCTGTCACCCAGGCTGGAGTGCAATGGGGCAATCTCGGCTCACTGCAACCTCTGTCTCCTGGGTTCAAGCGATTCTCCTGCCTCAGCCTCCCGAGTAGCTGGGATTACAGGTATGCGCCAGCACGCCTGGCTAATTTTTGTATTTTTAGTAGAGACGGGGTTTCACCGTGTTGGCCAGGATGGTCTAAAACTCCTGGCCTCAAGTGATTCACCCACCTTGGCCTCCCAAAGTGCTTGGATTACAGATGTGAGCCACTGTGCCTGGCTGGAACTGAGGGGTTTCTTTCGTTGTGAAAGAAAAGAAGGATGAGAGGATGGATTCAGATAAAGTGAGGCGTGCAGCCCTGTGATCCCCAGGTGGGGGCAGTTCTGAATCGGGAAACTTGTACTTTCTCAGGGAAGCAGGAGGCAAGACAGCTGCTGAGTGCGAGGGGACGGCGGAGGCAGGAGCAGCTGTGGAGAAGCTGCCGTGGGAAGGAAGATCATTGGCCAGGGAAACGTCTGGGAGCTGGGGAAGACAGAGATCCTAGATGGAGTGGGAAGTCACAGAGCTACGGCATCCTGAATTTGCAGAGCGGCGTGTTTTCCGGGAGAACTCATCAGCCTATGTGTAGACACTGGAAAAAGCAGACAGTTGGATTTAGCTGTGATCCCAGTGACCACAGAGGGGGCAAAGAAAGTGCATCATCTCACACAACATCACCAGGCGGTCCTTCCCCAGCAGCAAGGGAAACGCTTTAGTGGAGGGACAGTGGCCAAGTTTATATTTGTCAATGTCAAGCTGAAAGCTCTCTAGTCTGTATAATGAACACTATTTCTTCCTAACCTGTCTTGCTCTTTATGAAACTGATGGGTATATTTCAAAGTTTATAACCTTCCTAACAAACCAGGGACATGGTTGTTATTACATACTCCCCTTAAGAAAATATCTTCCCTTGATAGGTGGGGTGGCTCACACCTGTAATCCCAGCACTTTGGGAGGCCAAGGCAGGAGGATCACTTGAGGCCAGGATTTCAAGTCTAGCCTGGCCAACATGGTGAAACCCTGTCTCTACTAAAAACATAAAAATTAACCAGGTGTGGTGGTGCATGCCTGTAGTCCTAGCTACTCTCGAGGCTGACACAATAATTGCTTGAGCCTGGGAGGCAGATGTTGCAGTGAGCCGAGATTGAGTCACAGCACTCCAACCTGAGCAACAGAACAAGACCCTGCCTCAAAAACAAACAAACAAACAAACCAACAAACAAACCAAGAAACAAACAAACAGGAACCAGGTGTGGTCCTTCCCTAAACAGCCACCTAACTAACAAACTTTGGGAACACAGTCCCTGGAGGTATGGAAAGAATACCACCACATCAGAAGCCAAGAGATCAGGGGTCAGCGCTAGTAATTTAATCTGTGACCCTAGATCAAGTTTCTTAACCTGCACACCTCAGCTGGCTTCTCTGTAAGCTGTGAGACCCACCCAACATATGGGGCTTTCTGAATGACTGATTCCCGCGATCCAGGCCCAGGGCATGACCAACGACTGCCTTCCCATCGCTCCCTCTTCCTTCTAGCCCCTGAGCTCATCTGATTCTATGACTTAAAGGAATGGTATAGAAAACTAAATGCCATAGGTATGTAATTTTCTTTAATTTTTATTTTTATTTTAAGTTCTGGGATACAGGTGCAGGACGTGCAGGTTTGTTACATGGGTAAACGTGCCATGGTGGTTTGCTGCACCTATCATCCCATCACCTAGGTATTAAGCCCCACATGCATTAGCTACTTTTCCTAATGCTCTCCCTCCCTCCAATCCCACCTCCCGACAGGCCCCAGTGTGTGTTGTTCCCCTCCCTGTGTCCACATGTTCTCATTATTCAGCTCCCACTTATAAGTGAGAACATAAGGTGTCCAGTTTTCTGCTCCTGTGTTAGTTTGCTGAGGATGATGGCTTCCAGCTCTATCCATGTCCCTGCAAAGGACAGGGATCTCATTCCTTTTTATGGCTACATAGTATTCTATGGTGTGTATGTACATTTTCTTAATCCAGACTACCATTGGTGGGCATTTGGGTTGATGCCATGTCTTTGCTATTGTGAATAGTGCTGTAATGAACATACGTGTGCATGTATCTTTATAACAGAATGGTTTATATTCCTTTGGATATATGCCCAGTAACAGGAGTGCTGAGTCAAACGGTATTTCTGGTTCTAGATCTTTGAGGAATTGCCACACCATCTTCCACAATGGTTGGACTAATTTACATTCCCACCACCAAGAGTGTAAAAGCGTTCCTATTTCTCTGCAACTTTGCCAGCACCTGTTGTTTCTTGATTTTTTAATAATCACCATTCTGACTTGCAGGAGATGGTAACTGATTGTGGTTTTGATTTGCATTTCTCTAATGATCAGTGATATTGAGGGTTTTTTTTCCATGTTTGTTGGCTGCATGAATGTCTTCTTTTAGGTACGAACAGATTTAATGTGTCCCAAACCAAATGATACAGTTTCATGAAATAATTACCCTTCCTACATGAAATGCATCTTAATATTTTCTGTTTTATTCTATTTCATGCTTGTTATCACCCCCAAAATTAATGTCATTGCCCACTAGTAGACTGTGTCTTGGAGTTTGAAAAACTGTGTAGAAGGCCTGCTTTTGTATAGCTAAAACATATCAGTGAAAACAGAACGGAAAATGTTGAAGCTTATGCCCTAAAAATGCTGAACACAGCTGAGATGAACTTCTCTCAAAACGACAAGAACAACAACATTTCTGCTTACTTTCAGGACAGACTTGGCTCACCTCTGAACCCCTGTCCTTTTGGCTAATTCCCATACATCTTCCATCCCCACCCGCGATACCTTGTCCTCTGAAAGCCTTTCCTGAACCTCCGAATCAGGACTTGGTTCCCTTCTACATGTTCTCAAAGCACCCAAGCAATCATCTACATATAGTGCTTAGCACAGCAAACGGCCGATAGTGACAAGTCAATACATGTTAGAATATATTGCCATAGTTTGTTTACTTTTTGATTTTTCCAATAGATTGTACGCTTATTAGGAATTCTTGCCCACAGGGAAAAAATTTCAGGATGACAAGGATTCTGCTTCTGCAGATATTTAAACCACCAGATAGAAATTTTTTTCTTTTAACACTTAGCCGCAGTCCTTTAGGTGTTACAAGGTTAAAAAAAGAAAAACCCAAAAGATGTGTTCTTGATATCAGCTAACACTCCAGTTAAAGGCGAAAAGAGCTAGGCCAGGTGTGGTGGCTCATGTCTTTAATCTCAGCACTCTGGGAGGCCAAGGCGGGCAGATCACTTGAGCCCAGGAGTTAGAGACTAGCCTGGGCAACATGACAAAACACCATCTCTACAAAGTGCACAAACTAGCCAGGCCATGGTGGCATGCAACTGTAGTCCCAGCTACTCAGGAGGCTGAGGCCGGAGGATCCCTTGAGCCTCAGAGGCGGAGGCTGCTGTGAGCTGAGATCGTGCCACTGCACTCCAGCCTGGGCGACAGAGCAAGACCCCGTAAAAAAAAATGCAAAGAGCCAAAGAGCAGACCCCTGGCTGTCTTGTTGTCTTTCCCTCCTAGTTGTTCATGAATTAAGTGCCCAGTGAGGAGACAGCTGCCAACGTATAGGTGAGTTTGCAGTGCAAGCCGAGTGCTGTGAGTTCATGGGCAGGTAAAACTCTCTGAAACGCTGGAGAGAACCTGAATGGCACTTGTATACATTGGTAGATAAAGCATTTAAAGGGTTCCTCCTGTTCTTAGAAAAGGATCAAACTCCTTCGTATGACTTAACGCAGGACAACTCTACGGGACAGTCTGCCCAGGACAATCTGGGTTTGTACCTGTTACCCAAGCTTAGTGATTAATAACGTGCTCTTTCACTCTATAAACAGTCCCCATCTGGAGGATAACGTATATGGTTCACCTGCTTACAGGTCCTATGTGATCTGGCACAGCTGACTCCTCCAGCTCCACCCAGCAATAGCCCACACACTGGCACATGCTCCTTTCTCGCAGCATCACTGCTATCAGAGATCACAATTTTCTTCACTTTGCAAATGGAGAGAATGACACTCCAAGAAGTTCACTGGTTAAGGTCATATGGCAAATTAGGATGGGGAGCAGAGGTTTAAATGGAAGCTGTGATGCTTACTCTGCTCATTTCCACTCATCTGCAAGGCTTAGACTGGACTGCACTGGGATTCCAGACTCACATGCTGCAGGGACATTCTACAAACACTGTTCCTACCTCCCAGAACCCCCATCTGGCTCACTGCCACTTCCCCTTCAGGTCTCAGTTGAGCCGTCACTGACAGCTCTGCGACACCCCAAATCTAGCTGTGCACATAATACCAAGTGTGTCCCCTACTGAAACACACAATCATTCTGCACATATTTGTTCACAACTTGGTATGTGTCAGGCCCTGTTAGAGTGGCTGGGGACACATGTAGGGACAAAATGCCAGCCCTCATGGAGTTTCATGCTAGAGGAAAAAAGAGACAGAAAGGAAACTAGCAAATATAAAACAGAGTTGCATGACATTATAAACTGATACAAAATAGTACAAATATCTCATGAATTCATCACAATTCATTATAATTTCCTATTTGCCTGACCACATCTCCCTGTGGGTTTTGCAGCACGGTGTGTGATCTGAGGCTTGCAACAAAGGCCTGGTGAATTCAATAGCAGTTTCCCTTTCCATTCTCTCCATTGTCCTGGGAACTTGTCCTGCTCTGATAACATACAAAAGATAATTATATCTGTAACTAATCTTCTAAAAAGCATCTGTCCCACACATTCAGGGTTATTAACACTGATGCCATGTTCACTTTATTCTCAACAACTACTCATTTCTGAATCATAAGGTTCCTCATGGAGGTGGAGATAACCCTACCTACCGGGACATTCTGTTTATGTTTTAGGGACTGTCCTTTCCATGGCTTCCCTAGTCCCTCAGGTGCTGTGTGAGTTGTATTTCCTCCATTAATTCTACACTAGAAAAAGGTGTATATGCTCAAGCTGGGATAGGAAATAAACAATGAACTCAGGAGTAGCATCAGCCCAGAGATCCCTGCCATTGGGCATTCAATGATTGGGTAAAAAGTTAACTATCAGCACCTTACACCAATTAGAAAGGCTACTATAAAGAAGATTTTTAAAAAAGCCCAGGTGCGGTGGCTCACGCCTGTAATCTCAGCACTTTGGGAGGCCAAGGTGGGTGGATCATGAGGTCAAGAGATCGAGACCATCTTGGCCAACATGGTGAAACCCCATCTCTACTAAAAATACAAAAGTTAGCTGGGTGTGGCAGCGCGTGCCTATAGTCCCAGCTACTCAGGAGGCTGAGGCAGGAGAATTGCTTGAACCTGGGAGGTAGAGGTTGCAGTGAGCTGAGATCATGCCACTGCACTCCAGCCTGGCGACACAGCGAGACTCCATCTCAAAAAACACAAAACAAAAGACAGCGTTGCTGAGAATGTGGAATAATTGGGACCCTTTCTACCACTGGTGGGAATGTAAAACGGTCCAGCCACTGTGGAAAACAATATGGCAGTTCCTCAAAAAATTAAACATAGAATTACCCTACGACCCCACAATTCTACTGCTGGGTACATACCCCAAAGAATTGAAAGCAGGACCTCAAACAGATATCTGCGTGTTCCTCTTCACGGCAGCATTATTCACAATAATCAAAAGATAGAAGCAACCATCAACAGATACAAGGATAAGCAAAATGTGGTATATCCATAAATGGAATAGTATTCAGACTTAAAAAGGAAGGAAGTCCTGTCCAATGCTGTCACATGGATACAGCTTGAGAACACTATGCTAAGTGAAATAAGACAGTTACAAAAGGATGGATACTGTATTCTGCTTCTGTGAGGTCCCTAGAGCAGTCAGAATCTTAGAGACAGGAAGTAGAAGGGTGGCTGCCAGGGGCTGAGAGGAAAGACGGATGAGGAACGAATGTTCCACGAGGACAGAGTTTCAGTTTTAGGAGATGAGAAGAATCCTGTGGATGGATGATGGCAATGGTTGCAAAACAATGTGAATATACTTAATGTCACTGAACTGTACGCTAGAAAATAGTTAAGAAGTTAAATTTTAAGTTATGTGTATTTTAACCACAATAAAAAAGTTAACTGGTAGGTCACCTGGGACTGCGGTTTAAAGCAAATGCTTGATGGTTAGACTAATCTGGATGGTCCAACTAACCTGACTCTACCACTGACTGGTTATAAGACCTGGACAAGGGGCTCTACCCCTTGAGCCTCAGTTTCCTCATCTGAAAAACTGGAATAATAATAATATCTAATTTATAAAGGCTTTTGGAGGTTAAATGAAGCAGTAATGCCTCTTACATATAAATAAAATTCTGAGTATGATATACAGCACATAAATTCTAAATAATAAAGACTCAAAACCATATTTCATTGGTTTTGTTGATGCTGATTATTATTATTATAATTAATACTATTAGCTTAATTCAAAAGCTAACATCAACCTACAGCAACCTGCAGAAAGATGTCCTGCCAAATACTTGCTAATTTAATCCAGGAGCAAAAATCTATGATTCTGGGCTTGAGTGAGCTTTCCTAATTTTAAAACTCTGATGCTCATTTTGTCCCCAAGAATGTGTTTAGATGACAGAGCAATCAGAATTTGACATGTATAAATGCTTGGCATGTTAAAATAATGAAAGATATTTTCACCATTGTAAGGAAACAGCTTTTAATCCATCTCTCTGGTTCAACATCACATTTTTCTATAGTTTCTCATGACTTCTTCCTTAACAATTGGAATAGGTATGAAAAAGCTGAGCTGAACACATAGCTGCTTAGAAATGAGCTGCTTAAAGTGTTAAAACAACAGAAACAGCAAGCATGAGTTTAATGCTATGTATGCCGTCACAATACTAATTTCTCTATTTTAAATTACAGATTACACACACACATACACACACACACGGAATCACGTCTATATTGCTGGGATTTTCATTATATAACAATATATCATTTTAAATGATTTGAGGCAAATTATTGAAAAAAATTAAAGACTGAACTCCATAAAAAGGAAATCACCTGAAATCAAATATAACCTTGTTAACAAACCAGCACATTAGCAACATTTTTAGGGGCAACAACATAATCAGCAACTCTAAGACATCAATCAAATGCATTAAAAACAGGAAGTACTAACTCTAATTCCTAATTTCCAGAAAGGCAAATATACCATAATTAAATAACACGTTATAAGGAGATTTGTCTGTGTAGGTCTACTTCTGAATCCCCGAAGTTACATACTTGTACCACAAGCCCATACTCTTGAAAGAAAATTCTGGACCCAGTCCACATGGAATTTTGGTTAAAACATCTAATTCATTGCAGAGAAGAATTTAGTCTTTTCCACGGAAGAGACAGCATGTGTTAGAATGAGAATACTTTATAGAAATGACCAGTGACAAGCCGGCTATGTAAGGGGGCTTCTGATGCCTGGCGTTAACAAGAGACAGAGAGTATTATTGTTGAAAGGGATCTTTGAGATTACAGAAGGAGCTGAGGTGTGAATAATCGAACACCATCCCCTTGTTGCCTGAAGGAGAAGTGAGACAGCAAAACAAATCAAATTTCCAGGAGCTGCACCGTGTATGGTGAGCGAAGACGCAATGAGGACATGTCTGTAGGAGAACAGAGGTAGAAGTTAGCTCCTCAAGTAACAGTTGCCATCCCGAGGCACCACAGCACAAGACAGTAGCGGAAATGAACATGACAACGCGGATGGTGGGTGACAAGAGTCTTGCCTGGATATTGACATTTTTAAAGTGTAGAAGAAAATCGCAGGTCACTGAAACAAAGGCTGATGGTGCCCAGCAGGTTACTCTTGAAATCAGAAACAGAAGTTCATGAGAGGCAAGAAGACAGAAACAACAACTGAAAAACTTAGAGTGGATCGCTAACTTGCAGGAGCTGTGCAGCTTTGGCTTTGCAGGTTTTAGAAGCTCTCCCTACGCCACGTCTTTAAATATATGTATGTTCAATCAGCAGGAGGAAGGGACTAACAAGAGCCTTCTGCGGTAAGCACCTGCATCAAACAATGGCACTGATCTCAGAGGGATTTTAAACAGCTGTGCATAAACTTCAAAAGTAATTTGCAACCATATTAGTAAATGTCACTCTTCTTCCCGCTAGACACAGCACTTTTAAAAGAGATTAAGCATCCGCAGTAAGCCTGCCATTTTACAAGGGTTACCAAAGATAAGTTAGGGAAAATATGAAGATGATGATTCACAAGGTCGGGGTGTGGGGTGGGGTGGGGGACCCAGGACCTTAGGAATAGGGCTTGTCTATCACACAGCCTCGGGCAAGAAGGGCCCAGTGGGGACCATGGCTTCTAGGGAGCAAACCAAGGGAAAAGAGCAACGGAGTGGACCCTCCAGGCTTCTTGCCTCTCTCACGGAGCCTCACGAATCCCAGTGGTTTAGAATTTTCTTTGGCAAAAGAAAAGGTCAAAGAGGCCGGAGTTGACAGAAAGCATGGGCGGACTTCTCAGATCTTGTAGGTGGTTCTTAAAAGAATTCAGCAGGCTTGAGGTGTGCTCTCAAAGGGCAACTGGAACGTCAAGGACTTGGACACCAGGCACAGATGGTTCATTTCCCATGGACAGGAAGAGGGCACGGAGTGCTCCCTCTTCCCTCCACCTTCTCCAGCCTAGTCCCCCTCAGCCTGTGCCACTCCTGAATCATCTTTTATAGCACCACGTCCAGCCCGCACAGGGGCAGGACAGCCCAGGGAACAAGGCAGTCCTGTGGCGCTCTCCTTGCAGAAATGACCGGAGTCTCCCAATCCAGCCAGCCCGTGGACCTCTCTTCATGCCCACGGGGGAGTGCACACGCCTGTAGCATTCAACAGTCACTCTCCCATTGATAACGGTGGCTCTCGAAAATCCAATACCACAAAGATACTTTATTGCACAAACTTTGCTTGGTTAACCTGGCCCTCAAAGCTGGGGAATAACCTCACTTGAGGCTACAGGAATGAGCACGCAGATTTTTCTTTTTTTTTTTTTTTTGGTATCTTTCAAAGACCTGCCTCCCCCTCCCCCAGGCCCTTGACCAGAAACTTGGCTTGTTTAGAAGCCTGAGCAATGGCACCCCCGTCCGTGCTCCAATACATTCCCAGAAAAGGGGTTATGCTCCCCTGTGGACAGGATACCATCTCCAGAAAACATGTTTCCTCACGCATTTTTTTTTTTTTTTTTTACCAAGAATACAAAAACTTTCCACCTTCTTCCCTCCCCGCAGGCCCCCTTTCGTTCAGGTGAGAAGGAAAAGGGAGAAGAAAGGAGGAAGCGCCCCCAGGCCGGCGGCCCCCACCCGGCTAAGGTCGCCAGCATCCCGCATCCCGTGCGACCTGCGTCCCAGAAACCCAGCGGGGAAATTCTTCCCGGTGCGCTCTTGCGCCCGCTTGGTTCCATTTCCTACTCCGCCTGCTCACCCGGCAGCCCTCACCCCTTCCCGGAGGCTCTCCGAGGGGCCCGGGTAGCCCTTCTCGCCACGGGTCTCGGCCCCTCCAGCCCGCTCCCTCCCGGCGGCGGCGCGGGGCGCGGGGCCCTACCTGGAGCGAGCACGGCGCCGCTGCTGCCCGGTGGCGCTGGGACTGCGCGGGGACTGCGCGGGGACTGCGCGGGGACTGGCGGGGCTGGCGGGGCTGGCGGGGCTGGCGGGGCTGGCGGGCCCGGCGCACTGCGGGTGCGCCTAGAAGGCGGTGCCCGCCAGGGGGCGCTCGCCAGCCTCCCCGCCAGCCCGGCCTCCCGGGACCCGGCACCTCTAGCCAGGGACGCGCGCTCGGTCCCCCGCCGTGCGCCCCCGGTCCCGCGCCCAGGCTCCCGCCCCTGGCCTCCTTACCAGCCACTTGTCGCCCAGCTGCGAACTGGAGCGGGAGGCGGCGGCCGGAGGGCCCAGGACAGCCCCGGGAGGGCGGCGAGGCGGAGCAGGAGCGCCCCGGCTCCGGCCACATTCTCAGAGTCAGGAAAAGGGGCGAGAGGCCACATGTCTCCCTCTCGCCCAACTGAAAACGAAACGGCGCTCCAGCAGATTGGGTGGAAAGAGCTGGGTCTCTTTTCTCTGTTTTTCACGCTAGAAAGGGCTTGTAAACATTGTTCCTTTTAAAATGACCTACCCCAGGCATTTGTTTGGGCACACTTCTGTCCTGGGGTCATCGTTCCTAGGTGGCTTCGGACCTGGGACTTTTCCTGTATCTGCACATTGTCGTTTTATACACAATTGCCAAGGTGGGACTGCTTTCAACTTTACTGTGCTTGAAGCTGCAAAGGTAATGTTGCCGCCGTGCGTGTCATTTTAGGACTTTTTATGCCTTGCGGGTAATACTAATGATGGTCACAGGGAGGATAAACGGGGTGGTTTCTTTTTCTATACTCCATGTAACTAATTTCTCATTCAGGTTAGAAAATTATATGTCTGGTTACTAATATTCTTACTGAATGGTTTCCTTGCAATGATGACACCAAATAATTAAAACGTACTTGATTAAGACTTTTGTTGCTGTAGTGTACTAAGATCAGATTAATCTGAGAAGTAAAATAGTAATTTTTTGTCCTTTTTTCTTTTCTTGTTTTGAGAGAGACATTAAAAACGATTAAAACAAAACAAAACAGGCCAGGTGCGGTGGCTCATGCCTGTAATGCCAGCACTTTGGGAGGCTGAGGCGGGTGGATCGCTTGAGGCTGGGAGTTTGAGACCAGCCTGGCCAACATGGCAAAATCGTGTCTCTCCTAAAAATACAAAAATTAGCTGGGTGTTGTGGCACGTGCCAGTAATCCCAGCTACTCAGAAGGCTGAGGCAGGAGAATCGTTTGAACCTGGGAGGAGGAGGTTGCAGTGAGCTGAGATCTCACCACTGCACTGCAGTCTGGGTGACAGCAAAACTCTGCCTCAAAAAAAAAAAAGGTTTAACAAAAGCCAAAAGTTGAATTAGCAGCCTTCTGATCATGGGAATGTAGGATGTCAACTAAAAAGAACCTCAGAGGTTGGGAAGGCAGATGAAAAACTGAGGCCCCGAAGTGTTTCAAGACTTGATTAAATCACTCAGGTCTGCACTAGGAAGCGAGTTATGATGATGCCCCTAATCTATATGAACCCAAATAAAGCCAAAACACACACACCTTTTAAGGATAAAACTATATTCCATTAAAATTAGCCCCGCATTTGTCAATATCTAACAGCATTGGACTGACCCTCAGGCCAGAGGCTGTAGCTCTTGGAAGATCCTAGCCAGGAGGTTTGAGAGTGGCCAGTACCTCGGAAGTGCTGGCTCACTCTGACATCATCAGAACCTGGCATACAGTAGGCGCTCATTGGGTATTTGCTATGGAAATTAGGCAGGAAAGTGCGTCTGTGTCTGGAAACAAAGAGGCAAAGCTTAAGCAGTGATCCCCATGCAGATTCTTTCTGCAAACTACAAAACAGAAGCTTCCCTAGTTCAGACTGCCATCCATCTGGCTCTTTCTCCAATTGTTTTTCAGCGGATCCTGTTACAGTGCAAAGAAGAAATGGCAAACGGATAACAGCTACTGTGCCTAGAAGATGGTAGATTCCTCACGCTCCATATCTGGGTTTCTCATTGACAATTAGGCACTGAAAGGAAGCTCATATGTCCTGTTAATTTAATCAGTAGTTAGTGGCTTTAGAAAAAGTTTCATATATACACCAGGTATGATAAGGACTTTTTTTTTTCTTTTTGAGACAGAGTCTTGCTGTGTTGCCCAGGATGGAGTGCAGCGGCGTGATCATAGCTCACTGCAGTTTTGATCCCCCAGGACTCAAGTTATCCTCTCACCTCAGCCTCCCAAATAGCTGGGACTACAGGCACACATCACCATGACCAAGCTAATATTTAAAAAGATTTTTTTGTAGAGACGGGGTCTCACTATGTTGCCCAGGCTGGTTTAAAACTCCTGGGCTCAAGTGATGCTCCTACCTCAGCTTCCCAAAATGCTGGGATTATCGGGGTGAGCCACCATGCCCAGCCTGTGATGACTTTAGACGCACTACTCATATAATATTCATAATCTGATGTGATATGTATCATCATCATTATCATCTCTCTTTAACAGAAGAGACTAACAAGGCTTAGAAAGGTTATGTACCTCGCTCAAGATCCCACAATTACTAAAGTACCAGAACCAAGATTCAAACCCAGGTCAGGCTGGAGCCACCATCTCAAGAGCTGCTGAATAATTAATTCTCCTTTTTTTTTTTTTTTTTTGAGATGGAGTCTTGTTCTGTCACCCAGGCTGGAGTGCAGTGGCACAATCTTGGCTCACTGCAACCTCTGCCTTCTGGATTCAAGTGATTCTTCCTGCCTCAGCCTCCTGAGTAGCTGGGATTACAGGCATGTGCCTGCCACCATGCTCAGTTAATTTTTGTATTGTTAGTAGAGACGGGTTTCACCATGTTGGCCAGGGTGGTCTCGAACTCCTGACATCAGGTGATCCGCCCACCTCAGCCTCCGAAAGTGCTGGGATTACAGGCATAAGCCACTGCGCCCAGCCAATTCTCCATTCTTACATCGTACACTCAGTTTTCTCTTTCTTTCTCTTTTGGACAACTGATCTTTGAGGACTCTTGGCTACTCAATTGTCCTATAATCGTATAGTCCTACAACAGGAAACCCGTTAACCTGAAGATCAGATCTTTTAAAACAACATCCATCATATATCTACAAAATTGGGATTTTTTTATCGTAAAATTTCATCTAAAACAAAAAATTCACATCTGTTCTTGGTATCCATTAGGTGTAGTGGACACCTCTAGATATTCTTGATGCCAGCATCCTGTAGACCCGCCATCTCCTTTCCCAGGCCATGGGGTGTTTCTGTTTTCTATTAGACACTGTCTCTTAGTTATATAAACGTGGCTGCTCTCAGAAGTTCTCCACACCTTTGTTTCCTGGAAGAGGAAATGGCATTTCCTGGAGGGGATGACACGTGGGCGGTGAGGTTCCACTCACTACGTTAAACACACCCTAACTTTCAGCTGTGTACTTCTTTTCCTCTTTCAGGTTCTGCCCTGATGTTTCCTGGAATAATGCTGAGGACTGCCTTTCGGGTAGCCGCCCTATTCAGTTCACTTCATCTCGGAAATACCTGACCCCTGCCTTGGATCCAGCGGCCCTCCTGAGAGCTGAGGAAGGAGGAAATCCTATGTGTCTGCTCCCGGAGCTGCCACAACCCATCTTCCCACAACTCGGAACTTGGAAAAAGGAACCCAGGACACGACTTTGCTTTTCTTTTGGACCTAGTTGGTGATTATACTCTGTCTCCCATGGAGACCACGTCTTGCATCCTTCCTTCTATATGGGATTTAGGATAGAAATTAAAAAGAAAACATATTATTTTGAGTCTTGATTTGGAGAAAGGTAGTATTCAGGAGGAAGTAGGCTATGATACACATAGAAAATTTGAGGACAGTGTTACTTAACAAGGACATTTCTGTCTCTGCAGAAGTCACAGCTTGGAGGAAACCAGTTTGCACTATTTGATGAGGAATTTGGCCACCAAACCACTGATACTTTCCCAAAGGTTTGGCAGAAATTGTTTTTTGAGTGGCTCACCAGAGTACCCAGAAGAATCAGTATGGAATTAGAGGACAGTGGCCTACCCTAAATAAAGACATGAGTGATGTATAAAGTCTAGTGTCAATTTATTCAGAAAATATCAAAATTATTCTGGGAGCTATGGGTCAAAGTTGATAGGCACAAACAAACAAAAACGAAAGGTATTTTAAATTCACAGCTTGGATAAGTAAAAGGGAGATGTTGTCATTTCTCTTCTTCAATCCAACTTTAGATTTTCAAGCCGGAAAAAGGGTAATTAGAAGTTAGAAATTGTTATTGCCAGAAAATAGCTCTAAACCCTGAAAAAAAAAAAAAAAAAAAAAAAAACTGACCCTCCTCTTGGGGAGTGATAAACCTCAATTACTGTTGATAGTAAAACTGATATCAACTCTTCGAAACCAGTGAAAGGTGAATGGAAACCTTACCCTAGGTTAAGGTTTAAAAAATGTTCATAATATATATTTGAAAGTTCCATTATTTAAAATATTCATTAGACATGCTTTGTAATGTTAAGTTACTTCAAAAAATCTTACACAAGGGAAGGGAAGTATGTATTATTCCTTCATTTAAGAGAAAGATAATGTGTGAATATTAGTTAATATTTATCGTACATTTACTACCTGTGTCGAAGCGTAGTGTTACACACTTAATTTCAATTATTTAATTTGATTCTAACAATGAATCCCCTGAGATGGATAATATCCTCTTCATTTTACAGATGAGACAATTGAGACTTAAAGGTTAAACAAATGATTTCCTAAGCTCATTCAGCTAATAAACGGTAGGGGACTGCTTGACACCAGTCCAGTTGACCCTCAAATCCATGATTTCTGCCACCATATTCACAGAAACAAGACAAGAGCTGAAAATATAGCCTGACTCTTGAAACAGTCAAAGAATTGTGTATGTTTATGAAAGTTCTGATTAATAAGATATTCTGAGGACAAAAGACAAGGCATGGGTAGAGGGGCAATGTGTAGATTAGAATGTATCACAATGCCCACTAAATAGTAAAACCATAGAAAATGAAATTTAATCCTTACTGTGTAGAATATTTAGAGTAGATTGTTTTTTCCTCGGTGTCAATTACTATTACAACTATCAAAGAATGAAATTAAACAAGAAACGGTTCCTTTGGTTTTTTTTTTTAAAGGTGGGAGTTATAAAAACAGTATTTGCCATCTGGTTTTAGTTATGGCTGTGGAAATTCTATGGGTACAATTTGTTGTCATTGTTGTTACCACTACCAATACAGAGATGCTAATTGTAACATCAGTTTCTAAATCAGATAGTGAATAATTACATTTTCAATGTTTTCTTAACATAGATACAAGTTAACAGGATATGCTTCTGGCCTGTTTCTGGATTCTAAGGGTAGAACCAGCATAAAACTAGTCAGTCCAAGTATTTCTAAAGATCCACAGACACAGTTCTCCTGGATTTGGGAAGCCTAGAGATATTAGCACAATAATTAAGGCCCAAGTGAGTATAAAATTTTATCTGAAATTGAAGAGATATTGATTAGATAATCCACAGAGACTACTTTTTAGTGATTATCTTCCACCAGGGTAAAAGCAACAGCAGCCTGAAAATGCAAAAGACCATACATTTTAATGGTAAGTCCTCCCCAGGAAGGATTAATAAATCTCAGGAGGAAGATTTATTATCTGTAAATCCAGGAGGAAGAAATCAAGATGAAAACTATCATATTTATAAATTTGATTGTTGCAATTTTATAGTTTGACATAGTGCAATTGCTTTAGATTTGAAGGGGAACTTACTTTAGAGTAAGTCACTCAATCTCTTTTTTGGAAAGGCAAATGCCACACCTGATCCTCATCACTCCCTTCTCCTTTGTCCATAGCCTGGCTTTATTCTGCCATTAACACACACACACACACACACACACACACACACACAAATTGGGAAGAGGATTTCTCATTTTACAGAAAGTATGCTGGGCTACACAGGATATTCTATCAGGTTTCTTCCAGCTATAAAATTCTGAGACTAAATATCAAATTAAAGAAAGTACTAATTGTCAGCGATGGGGGATGTACTGCTATTTGCTTCTAGTGGTACTCACTGCTCATTTCCTATATTCACTGGTATAAAAAAATTTCAAACACCCTCAAAAAAGCCTATACTGGTGGTACCAGGAAAACGCTGAAAATCATTACTTTCTGTGTGGTGTCCAGCTCTTTTGGTTACATCATCACTTCGACCATTCACTTTTAAAGAAAAACTTTTGTGGAACAAAAATATAAAGATTTATTTTTTTTCTTGGTGGCTTAGCACAGTGGCCTAATGTGGCTGACCATGTGCACCTGTTGTGTGAGTCACTTAGACGTGCTTTGTTTCTTGGTCACAGTTGATCCCTCAACTCAAGCATCTCACCCTCAAAATGTTTGTTTGGGACCCAAGAGGCAAACCTTGAGATGGGTTATTTCTTTCACCTTGGATTGGCTCATCTGCTGGGAGTGGAGCCAAGCTGACATTTCCTTTCCTTTTTGTCTGCCTATCACTACGTAGAGGCAGCACATAAGAGAGGGAAAGCCATGCGCGTGGAGTCCAGCACATCACCCAGAAGGCAGATGTTCTATCTCCATTTTACTCATTAAAACAAACAAAACCACACCTGGATTGCCTGGTACTTAAATAAAATGCACTATGATGATTGAAGAAAAATATCTTATATTTAAGGAATAGTTTTAATAGCTTACATCTGTATTTCTATTAGCTTCCGTTTCTATTTTTAATATTTGTATAATATTAAAAGTAATTTTAAAAATGAACTAATCTTTTTACATCTCTTATGAGAATTTAATGGAGATATGATGTTTGAAGATCAAAGATACGTGGTATTTGAAATCAGAAAATGTGTTTGCTTTTCTACACAGATTACAAATATCATGCATTATTTCACAAACTCTTCTCAAAGTGTTGATTTTAAAATTAGTAAAAGGAGGGTATATTCATATCACATCCTGGCATTTTTATAGGCAAGATTGAGCAGCTATAACCTCTAAAGTGCTTTGATCCCTATAAGCCTCAAGAAGAGAATGGTGCAATTTGAATTAATAACTACCCATTATAGAGCATTTGTATCACAGTATTTTCCAAATACTATCTTATTTAACCCTACAGCAATCCTATGATATGGGGATTATGTACACATTACAGATGAGAACTTGAGGCTCGGAGAAAGTAAATAACTTACACAAGATCACAAAGCAAGTGACTGCCAGAGCCAGGATCAGAACCCAGTCAGGCTTCATTAGGAGCTCTGCTGAACTCTGTCTAGAGAATTCTCACCACCTGCTGCAAAGGCTAAAAGAAAGGGTCATATTCCACATGTAGATTTTGAGAAATATTTGTTATTTTTCTTATGATAAAGGTTATGCATACACACTCACACACACACACACACACACACAACTAGAAATTACAGAAAAGAAAAAAGATTAGCCAGAATGTCACCACCTAAAGACAGATAATATTTTGGTGTTTTCAAATATTCTTTTATCTATACTTTTTTGAATTATTTTATTTTAAAAATAACTTTTACTGGTTGCCTGATTATGAAGTAATAAATATTCACCATAAATATTTTGAAAAATATAAAACTGTCTATAAAAGAAATTTGAAATGATTGCTAATCTCAAAATATAGATACCTGTCAGTACTTTGGCATTTTATCCTCCTTGTGGCTGAGGTCACATATCTTGAGACTGAAGCACAAAATTTCTATACCATACAGTTTATAGTTTAGGCCACAACATCATTTTTAAAATTGTTTCTTTGGTTTTTACTTGATTTGCTGATGTTTTATTTTTTAGAAAATTGCAGATGTGATTTTTAGGCAGCTGATTGGAATGTTCTGGTTGCTCTGAATAGGACTAGCTACTTTGTTTTTTACTGAAGGACAAATATTATTCCTACACACATAAAAAACCTCAAAGAATGAGTAATGATACTGTTTAAATCTGCCCTTATAACTCCAAAGAATGACTTCAAATTTTCTTTCTTCCAAAGCAACTTTTAAAAGCCTTTCCACTGCACAGTGAAAGAAAACCACAAACTCCTTGTTTAATAAGTGGGATCACGTGCTTTTAACACGAGGAAAAGGTCAATCTGAAGCAACTGATATGGAACTGCCAGAGTAGGTACGTAAATTTAGGAGTTACATCAATTTGGGAGGGCTGCAGAAATGTGGATCAGATTTTAATCACACTGAGGAAGTTTCTTTGAGCAAAAGACGTGATGGTTGTTCTCTAGAACCTTTCTGTCCTGTCCGTTGCTTTGCCAAGGGAGCTAGAAAAGAAATAAACATTTAAGAACTTAAAAGGCTTCTGGATAAAACTCAGCTTGGTGCAACACATTTTAGCTATCACAGCTTTACTCCCAAGCTTCCACCTTTCCTAGGAGCGCAGTAAAAACCTGAGCCAAAGAAACCAAACAATAGAACTGAAATTCTTTAAACTTGAGTTCTTGAGGTTATAGTCTTTGTGCACTCCATAAAGTCAAAGCCCTAAAAAGATTTTTAGAAAACAAAACACTTGTATCTGTATCTATTTCCCCAAACCTCTCTACATTTACTTACCTTTTGCAGACTCATGCTTTCTCTTTTCCTTGTGATTGCATTTGGATAGAATGAAGACCTCTCCTACAGTTCTCAACTTAAATTCTTTCTTTTATTTCTTAGCTACGAAAGAAAATTCAAAAAATTCAATGCTCTACTTTGTAACTCCCTGGACATAGTGAGTCCATTATGTACATCATGAGGAGGGAGTGGAGAAAGTGGAATTCTTATGTAAATTCATACAGCTTTGGAAAATGGTTTAGCAGTACCTACTAAAGCTGAGCATATGCAAAACCAGTGACCCAGGAATGTCATGGGTACATAACCTACAAAAATGTAGACAGATGCGCTAAAAGACATGTACAACATGTTCACTGCAGCCCAGTTCATCATCACCCCAAAGTGGAAACATCTCAAGCGTCCACCAGCTGGAGGCTGCACAATAAAACTGTGGTACTTTCGTCGGTAGAAACATGCCACAGCTTGAACACACGCTGAAAACATAACGTCAAGTGAAAGAAGCCAGGTCCCAAAAAAAGACATACTGTATGATTGTATTTACATTAAGTCCCAAAACAGGTAAACTGAATTCATGCAATGGAAAGTCATGAGAGTAGCTACTGCATCTGGGGAGGCAGGTGGTGGAGTGCCAGGGAAGGAGCACCAGGATGGCTCATGGTGCTATTTTTATGACTTGATGTAGGGGATAGGTAATAGGTAGGTCCACTTTGGAAAAGTTCATCTAGCTGTGTATTTGTGACTTGCAGTCTTTTCTGCATGTGTCAATTCCAGTAAAAAGATTACTTGAAAATCAAGTATAATATTATTGTATTTACAAAGCCCTTTCTACGTAGCCAGAAACAGGGTTGGTTTCCCAGGTGACTGAGAGGTCGTCAGGAGCTTAGTGAGTGGAGGGCAGGGGACAAGTGTGTTCATTCTCTCTCCCTCTCTCTCTGCTGTTCTGTAAGGTGACAAGTTAGGCTTACTGCCAGTGTGACCTTAAATAAGCCATGCATGCTTTCTGAATCCTTTTTTCTTATTTGGTGAGTGACGTGCTAGTTAAAATGGTGTCTCCAGCCCTTTCCCGTCCTCGCTGCTGTGATTCAAGCCCCCTCCTTCTCTGTGGGGCTTCCTCCGACCTCTCGATTTCACTGTCACCTTTCTCTCTTCCTCTCTCTCCTGCTTCCTCCCTGTCCACCCCCATCTCTGTCCCCCCAGGGCCGAGTTTGTTTTATATCTCTTTTGGTATCTCCTCTGGTTTTCTGGCACCATGTCTTACGTAGAGCAAATAATAATGCTTTAAAAAATTCTCGATAAAGGAAAAAGTTCAGTAAAGTGTGAATTTCACATTGTAGTCAGTGGTTAAATGCCTCAAACACTTAAAAAGTAGAATTTATCTCAACCTGGGCAGAAGGCAGTCCATGCCAATTTCTAAATGGAATCCAATAGCAAGAATGCACAAAGAACAAGCAGGAGTGGTGAGGATTTCCTCACTCTGTCCCTCAGAGGTGGCGCGTCTCATCTGTGAGGTGAAAGTGTCATCACGTCATTGACATAAAGTATAAGTACAGGGAACATAATCATCTGGGAGATTTTAATTTGAGTTAATAAGAGATGAGATTTTCAGGCTAAAAGTCTTGGGGCTGGACAAAGAATATTTAAAAGGAGGGTTGGTGGATAAAGAAACTGTGGTATATTTATACGATGGAAGACTACTTGGCCATAAAAAGGAATGAATTAACAGCATTTGCAGTGACCTGGAGATTGGAGACTATTATTCTAAGTGAAGTAATTCAGAAATGGAAAACCAAACATCATATGTTCTCACTGATATGTGGGAGCTAAGCTATGAGGATGCAAAGGCAAAAGAATGATACAATGGACTTTGGGGACTTGGGGGGAAGGGTAGGGGGCGGCGAGACATAAAGACTAGAAATATGGTGCAAAGTATATTGCTTGGGTGATGGGTGTACCAAAATCTCACAAATCACCACTAAAGAACTTACTCCTGTAACCAAATACCACCTGTACCCCAAAAACTTATGGAAAAATAAATAAAAGAGGGTTGGATGATAAGAATTTGTCATCTTGTTTTCTGAATTGTTCAATTGTACTTAATTGTACTTCTTTCCTTAAGGAGTTGAAAATCTTCCTAAACTGCTGGAGGATACACCTCTGATAGCTTGAGACAAATATCCTCTTGATCATTGTTTCACCATATTTGTCTTTGCTCATGGAGAACCATTTTGATCCGTGGTTTAGCCTCCCAGGTGATTGAACAATACCGGTGATCTGAGGCAGACCCTCTGTGACGGATAACAGGTGAGTCTCTTGCATGTTTTTGCATCATGTACTGATTACCCAGACAAAACTGAGTTGGCACAGCTGCTAAATCCAGGATCAAGTGCTGGGATAGTAGTCATTCAAGGAGGAGGTGTCCTGAGGGGCTCATCCCTCAGTAGCCAGCTGTGCCCAGAGCAGAGAGGGGCACAGGGTGACAGAGTGAGGCAGGCAGAGGAAGCCGCACATGGCCAGGTGGGAATGGACATCAGGCTCCTGACTGCTCTCCTCACCCAGCTACACCTTCAGCTTTTCACTGGCAGACACCTGTGGCTGCTGAGATACCATCCCCTCCAGTGAGTCGGCTGGCAATTAGCTTATGGTCCTAAGGATATTTCTGGTGTTGCTGAGAAAGTCAGAGAAATAGAGGAAAATGTCAAGCTATGCTTTTAGAAAAGAGTAGATGTTAACTTGTTTGGCTTCTGACTCTCAGCCTTAAAGAAACATGTCACCTTCTTCCTCACCTGTAACGGCAACAAATCCTCGTAACAAACATCTTCCATTGATACTTGAAGAACATGCTCACATAGTAGGTGCTGGCTAGTTTGTACAACACGCCTCTGCTTGTATTTATCTACTCACAGGTGAGAATGAGTTGAAATAAAACGTGGAAGTTCCTAGGAAGCACTCAGTATTGCCCCTCCCTGCCCCTTTTCTGCTGTTATCTGCTGTGGGAGCAGGGGAGCAGGGCAGTGTGCTGTGGTGGCAGATGGTGGACTTCAGAGTCCTAGAACTCCCAGATTCATGATCATGACAGGTCTGGGCTCCACCACTGACAAGCCATGAGGACTTGGGGAGTCCCATGATCTCTCTGGGCCTCAGTTTCCTCTGCTGTAAAACAAAGCAATGGATGAGATAACATTTCTTTCCACTTGATAAATCCATAAAGTGCAAAAGAACCTAACTCTGACAAATATTTGTATAATATTTTTACTCCAGCAGGATGCATGATTTGTATTCAGCTGAGATGGATTGACTAAAAATTACACCTTCTGCTCACTCTAATTTATTGCTGTAGAAGAAAGAATAAGTGAGATATTTCCATTTCTAGTGACAGGTGGCTGGCACTTTGAAACCTTCCATTTCATTACTCACCTTAATGTTTTCACTAAAACACATGTGGTTTTCAAACACAGGAAGGAAAACATGGTAACCTGTGGTTACAATTTCCACTAGAAAATAGAAAAGGTGTAGGTCAGAAAGAATGTTTGTGGGGTGTTCCTTTTTTACTTTAAACATGAAAACCCATGTCAGAAGAGTTTTCTCTTGAGAAGAACACTGTTAATTGTTGCAATTTTCAAAAGTTGATGAAAATGGGGCCCAGTGGCCTCTGTTGTTGCAACCAGGGCAGTTGTGGTTGAAGAACTCTGAAGGCTTTAGTGCCAGGGATATTTTTAATCTTCCACTGTGTCTTCAAGCAGTCTCTCTCTTCTCTTTTAATTCAAATTCTGGGAAGCCTAAAGAAAATGTCTTTTCAGGCAGTCCTTCTCATACCCAAGTAGCTCCAAGAATCCCTTTTCAGATCCCATCTTGAAGCAAATTAGCTTGTTCAAATAGCATTTCCTCTGTAGCAATTACCTTCACAGTTATTTTCAGCTACTGGTTCCGTAGTTTGCTGTGATCAGTTGAATTTACCTGATACCTAAAATTAATTAATTCTTCAATAAATATTTGGAGAGCACCAACTAAGTTTACGACATGCGCACACATCTGAGTTAATTGGTTAATCAGAAAGAAATGCAAAACACAAAAGAAAAACTCTTTTGAATTTTCTAAATTGTAAACATCTACAACTACTAGAGATATGGAGTAAGTTTTAAGTAAATTCTATTTTCACAAGAGACTGGTATTTGAACTTCGGAAGTCCTCTTTCCAGATGGCCGGGGTACCTAGCAGGAGGGGGTGGGAAACCACTCCAATAAATGTTATGCGTTGGTTCAAGAAACCAGCTGTTCAACCTGCAAGAGAAAAATGTGTTAACGGAGTAATACATACATAGTAGTTTAGATTTTTTTCTTCTAATTGCTTTACTGATGACAATCAAATAAGAATATGCGTAGAGCTCTTCAGGGTATCAATAAAAACAGATGCAAGTCATGTTCACGTGCAGGTTCAGTTTTAAAGGGAAGAACCGCAGCATACATAGAACAGGAGAGCGGGACTGAGCTGTTCTGTACCAAGCTCTTATCTGCCAGACAAGATCTTATCTTACGTATTTATACACAAGCACAGATGTGCATGGTGAAACATGCATTTGTATCAATACAGGATAGCACTGGGGAGGACTCCTGATGGGTGGGAGGACTCCTCCAGTACTTGTTCCACTGCAGCCTGCCCTCGGCACAAGCAGCCAGAAAGATTCCCTAACAGCAGAGTCATACCTGCCACTCTGTCCCAGCCCCCAGGGCTTCCTTCTCCCTACAGGACCTGGCCAGTCCCTAGGCCCCAGATCCGCCTCTGATTCATCTTCCCCACCCAGCTCCAGCTGCATCAGCCCCTGTTTGCTTCTTAGCATGCCGGCAGGCTGGAGCCCAGGGCACAAGTCTCCATGTTTGGCTTGAACATCAATTTCTCCAGGATGATTTCCCTGATGACTCTGTTTTAAATTTCAGGCCCTCTGTAACCCCTGTCCACACATACACACTAGACCCTATGCTCCCTTTCCCTATCTCCCTCCCCATCCCTCTTCCCAGTTGGCTTCACCTTTCTGGAATAGAAACTCTATGCAAGCAGGGATTTTCCCCGTGTATCACTTATTATTGTATCCCAACAACTAGAGAGTACTTGGCACATAGTAGACGTTCAAACAACGTTCGTTCAATGAATGCATGAATTAAATGTAACTAATCACAATACATTCACAGATATATGAAATAATTCACTTACTTATGCAGAAGAATTGGGTAGCTATGGATTTAATTAGTCCTTTCACGTCTTAAGAAGTATTTAATTCATTTACAAATATAAACAAAGAGCAAATTCTTTACCTCACATGGAATATCCTCTTTTGGACAGCTGGCATCAAATTGGCTCCGTGAACATTAGTCATAACACAATGGTCATCTTTCTTTATTCATTGGTCATCATTCTAACAGTGTAGAGTCAGAGTCCCTATCTTTCAGATAGGGAGCTGTATTGGTTTTCTACAGGTGCTGTAAAAAACCTCTACAAACTAAGTAGCTTAGAACCAAAATGTATTGCTGCACAGTTCTGTAGGTCAGAAGTCCAGGCTCACTCAGTTGACTTCTTCAGGTTTCACAAGGCAGAACGTCGGGTTGCTGGCTGGCCTGGGCTCCTACCGGGAGGCTCCAGCAAGGTGGGAGGAAGGGATCCCTTCAGTGTCCTGAGCAGCACTGTGGTTGCCTCCCTCCCTTGGCCAGAGGAGAAACATTTTAAGAACTGACACAGATGGCACTCGTGCCATATGGATAACTCCTACTAGTCTGGAGTGTGGCTTTGGTGCTGTTGCTGCAGACACCTTGTGCAAATGAATGGCTGAGGAAGACCCCCTTCCACACGATGCTGAGTAAGAGGAGCTAGTCTCGGAAGAAGAGCACAGACCCTGTGATTCCATTGCCTCAAATACCAGAGCAGGCAGGACCTTATCTGTGGCGGTCAAAATTAGATTAGTGGATTCCAGGGTCAGAGGGTGGTGGACAGAGTTTGACTACACAGGAACATAAGACACATTTCTGGCAAGATGAAACTATTTTATATCTTTTTGAAAAAGTTATTTATTTATTTATTTATTTAAGTTAACGCTTAATTTTAATATAATTGTATATATTTATGGTATACAACATATTTCCACATGTGTGCACCTTGTGGCATGGCTAAATCAAGCTAACTGACATACGCATTACCTTACATACTTACGGTTGATTTGTGGTGAGAACACTTAAAATCTACTCTCTTAGCAATTTCAAGTAATAACAATACATTGTTATTAATTAGAGTCACAATGTTGCACAATGGATCCCTTGAAGGAGTCCTCCCCTCTATCTGAAATTTTGTATCCTTTGACCAACATCTCCCTGTCTTCCCTTGCCCCCCCTCAACCCCTCCCCCAAGCCCACTGCCACCGGTTTTCTATGTTTCGATTGGGATAGTGGTTACATGATACATGTTTGGAAAAAATCATTGACTTGTACAATTACAATGTGTGAATTATATTGTATGTAAATTATTCCTTAACACTATTGACAAAAATAGTAAAATTAATAAAACAGTGTAAATACTACACCTAATTTTAAACAGAAAAAAAGATGAGAGACATCATTCCAGCATATTTTAGGAGGTCATTTAATATGAGATCTACCCTCATAACAGATTTCTAAGTGCACAGTTTCGTGTTGTTAACTACAGGCACAATGTTACGTAGTGGATCTCTAGAATGCAATCTGATTTCCTCAACCCCCATAGTCCGTCCTATACAAAGGAGTTCTCTGTGGAGTCATTTACCTTGCTTATTTGGTTGGTAAATTACCACCTGTTCCTGTTGATGAGTTTGCAGAGAAATTCACAGATGTTGCTGAAATTTTCAGCCTAGCCATGTTGGTTTTGAACAGTGACTGGTTTTGCTTTTTGTGAAGAAAACACTTGCTCGAACAGCATCCTTTGAAGGAGACACTGTAAGGTCAAAATTCTTTTGCTGGCTGCCTCAAGCTACTGAGTGAAATCACATTTCACTGTATACTTTTGTCCTCCTTTCTAACTGATAGAGACATGCCAACTGTGGGGAAATGGTAAATATGTTAGATTTTCTTCCATTTTCAGACAAAAACGACTCTTTAACTGAGGGTATTATGTTTCTGATGTGCTTTTTTAGTTGCTATTTTTATGTAGGTTAAAAAAAGACATTTGATGATGTCTCGTAAGTATTTTTCCAACTTATACAAAGCTTTTCATGTAATAAAAACATCATTACGACACTATCAAAGACAATGAGCTTATTAATGAGTGTCAGGGATTTTGCTAATTTTTGGAGTTTGTATCAGTTGTATGATCTCTGCCTTAAAAATCTGATTTAGTATTAAAATGCTTTTTTCAATAATTAGTTGTAGCAAATTTAAACTTGTGAGTTTATATATTTTTTTTCTCTTGGTACTATGATTCTGGAGTTGATGATGTAATAGAATCATAATGGTAATTTACTAAAAGCTTGAATCACTGAATCTCAAAGAATTAAACACCAAGCTGAATGGGAAAATCAAAATAAAAGTTACTGTGTATTTCAAGATTACTTGAGAGATTTTTTAAATGAGAAGCTAGAAAGCAGATATCTCAAGCGATTTAAGTAGAATTATGTGAAACAAATAAATAACTTTCAGTATACCATTTCTTTTTAAGTCAGAGAAGCAGAGAAACTAAATACATGGACATTGGATAGGCCATCTTTAAATGAGAAGTCAGAATTTATGTTTCCTAATGAAATTTAAAGATTTAATAGAGATATTTAAATTCCAACTAAAATTATTTCTGTAGGCAGAGCCTATCACAATTGCTGAAATTATAGCTAGGAAATTAGCAAATGCCCTATCATACAGTAATTTATCTTTCCATTTTTTTGATGATATGGAAAATGAAACTTTTTAATCTTTAAGTTTCCATTAATTGATTGCATATTATAGAACTTTTATAAATATGATTCTTACATTAGACTATGAGGTAGATATTATATCTTTGTTTTACAGAAAAGAAAATTGAGGATCAGAAAATACGCACAATTTGCAAAAACCATGGGTGAGTAGATGGCAGAGTGTAGATTTGAAAGCAGTGTTGACTTTAAGCCTGTGCCTCCAGTAACCTTCCCATGATACACAGTCACCATTCAAAGAATATTTGTTGAGGGAGTGATTTTTTTTAACAGGATTAAAAATATAAAACAAGAAGGAGGAGGTATGAGGCAGCTATCTAAATCCATCCTTCCGCTGCAGATTTTAAAGCCTTTTTCCTTTTCCATCTTGCCTGCCTAATTATTTTATCATTTTAACACATTGATATATTCAGTGACTAATCCTTTACTGCCTTGCAAATATGTTACAAGCATTTTCTAAGTCCTAGAATTGAAAAGTAATGATTACTTAAAAAAAAAAAATCAGTGACTTCATTCAGGAAAATCCACTGGTATCCAGGCCGGTGGATTCAGGCTCAGCAGTAAGGTCTTGCTTTTTGTCTTCTTTGCTTTCTTCTCTAAAACATTTTTTCAAATTGAGAAATTTTAAAAACCGTGTCTATTTATGGTGCACAATATGATGTTTTGAAATATGTGTACATTGTGGAATGGCTACATCAAGCTAATTAACATGTACATTACCTCAAACAGTTTTCATTTGTTTGTAGTGAGAATATTTAAAATCTCTGAGCAATTTTCAAGTATACGACACGTTGCTGTTAACCAGAATCACCATGTTGTAGAATGGATATATTGAACTTGTTCCTCCTGTCGAACTGAAATTTTGTATGGTTTAACAATCCCCTATTTCCCCCCCCACCTCCAGTCCTTGGTAACCACCATTCTACTCTCTGCATCTATGAGTTTGACGTCTTTATGTTCCACATCATGAGATGTTTTGAGATAATGTGGTATTGCTCTTCCTCTGCCGGCCTTATTTCACCCAGCATAATGTCCTCCAGGTTTATTCATGTTGTCAAGAATGATAGATTTTTCTTTTCTTTAAGGCTTTACTTATACCACATTTTCTTTGTCATTTATCCCTTGATGGACAGAGGTTATTCCATATCTTGGCTATTGTGAATATTGCTATAGGGAACATGGGAGTGCATATAGCTCTCTGACATCCCAATTTTTATTTTATTTCCCCTTCTTTTAAGCATTTCTTAAAGTTCTCACCTTCACCTTTTATTATTCGAAAGAATTGTGAGTAGCAGTTGTGTGGTTCAAGAGCACACTGCAGTCTTCCTTGTGTTCATCTATATTATCTGGGATATTTTGTTAGTTCTGGTCTGCAAGCTTCAAGGCTTATTGATAGTTTGAGTCACCAAATAGCCAATAAGACCTTATGGGTTATAGAATAAACATTCAGACTCCTTTTTCTGGTCTTTATCATCCTTCGTAGTATAGTCCCAGTCTATTTCTTTAAATTTATCTCCCTCTATTTCCATAAATATTCTCTATCCTAAACTCATTGCCTAATTAATTCTTGAACATGCCACATGCATTCCCATGCTGCACTTTTGCTAAAACCAATCCTCAGCCTGGAATTCCCTTTCTACTCCTCTGCCAATCCAATCCTTTTTTTGCACATCCAATTCAAGTTCCACCTCTTCCCTAAAGATAGTATTTTTTTCTTGGTGGCATTTATTTAGTTTTCAGAATATGCAATTTATATTATTATTATAGCTTTTGCTCTCAGATCTTTTTTGCTATAAAAATATTTATTTATTTTTATTGATACACCATAGCTGTACATATTTTTAGGGTACATGTAATAATTTGGTACATTCATATAATCAAATCAGGGTAATTGGGATGTCCAACATCTTAAATATTTATCTTTATGCTAGGAATGTTCAAATTATTATCTTCTAGTTATTTTGAAATGTGCAATCACTTCATGTTAATTATAATTAACCTACTGATGTATCAAACACCAGGTCTTATTTCTTCTAAGTGTGTGTTTGTACCTGATATGGTTTGGCTCTGTGTCTCTAGCCAAATCTCATGTAAAACTGCAATCCCCACAGGAAGGGCCTCATGAGAGGCAATTGAGTCATGGGGGCAGACTTCTCCCTTACTGTTCTCATGAGATCTGGTTGTTTAAAGGTGTGCAGCCCTTCCCCCTTCGCTCTCCTTCTTTTCTGCCACCATATGAAGACATGCCTGCTTCCCCTTCACCTTTCTGCCATGATTATAAGTTTCCTGAGGCCTCCCAGCCATGCCTCCTGTACAGCCTGTAGAACTGTGAGTCAATTAAACCCCCTTCCTTTATAAATTACCCAGTCTCAGGTAGTTCTTTATAGCAGTGTGAGAACGAACTAGTATAGTACCCATTAATCAACCTCTCTTCATCCCCTCAGCTCCCTACCCTCTTTTATCATTTATACTTTAGTCTCGCAAGTAGTTCTCTATTTTTGTCTCCTTGGTCATTCTCAACAGTACTTTTCAGACAGTACTCTGAAAAAAAAATCACCCAGAAAAGATTGTTGATATTGTTGTTGATAATGAGGATGAAACATTTGTCTTAATTTTTAAAGATGATGAACGAAAGATTGAACTTGGAGTTAAAACAAACACATTGTTTATTCTAAACTATACATAATGATAACAACTGTCAGCTAACTGAACCGCCTCCTCAGTGATATTGTATCAGTTGCTCCGCTGCTGATTGGAGTTGAAATCATTGTAAGGGATGGAAGACACCAGGAGGTAGAACTTAAGAGGTAGAACTCCCCATGAAACCTTCATTCATGGCTAACCCCAATAATTTAGCAGCGACTTTTCTTAGCTTGGATTTCCCCCCAAGAAAGCAGAACTTGAGATAAGAACTCTTATAGAAACAATTTACTTTGAGAAGTGATCTGAGAGAACAGGAATGGGGAACTGAGGAGAGTGAGGAGGGAAAGTGGGAATTCCAGCCGGTTTATAGATGCATTATTAGCTGGTTATGGCTGTGGGATCAACCCCAGGGAGGACTGTATTAGTCTGTTTTCACACTGCTGATAAAGATATACCTGAGACTGGGTAATTTATAAAGAAAAAGAGGTTTAATGGACTCACAGTTCCACGTGGCTGGAAAGGCCTCACAATCATGGTGGAGGGCAAAAGGCATGTCTTACATGGTGGCAGACAAGAGAGAATGAGAGCCAAACAAAAAGGGAAACCCCTTATAAAACCATCAGATCCTATGAGACTTATTCACTACCATGATTCAAGTATCTCCCACTGGGTCCCTCCCACAACACGTGGGAATTATGGGAGCTACAGTTCAAGATGAGATTTGGGTGGGGACACAGAGCCAAACCATATCAAGGGCAATCTGAGGAATGGTGTAGGATGTTCCTCAGCACTGTCCACCCAAGACACAGAAATGGAGTATTTCCCTGTTGGCTCTCAGCCCACTGGTCAAGGGCTGCCCCAGCAATTAGCCCACTGGCAGCATGGCTGGGCTGGTTCCTACAGAGATTCCTCACCACAGGAGCAGGACTGCCCCCAGATAGAAGGCAAAAGAGACAGCAGGAAACTGAAGTGAGGTGTTGTGAGGTTCACTTGTGCACAGGTGGTTCCTACAGCAGTGGCTGGAGCAAGACTGATGGGGCATAAATGCTGCCTGACACAATGTGCTTTCCCATAAGCTCATATAGGATCTCAGAATCCTTCTCAATGCAGCGCTCCTGGGAGCTATTATGAGCTCGTTGGAGTTGGCATATGCAAAATTAAGCAAACAATTTGCCAGCTCCAGAAGAGATGATTAAAAACAGTACTGGAGCAAGTTCTTGCATAAGCCTGTGTGAAAGTTACCAAGCATGGTTGATTGAACGGGTACTTTAAAACTTGTGGATTTCCTGTTTGGGTACTCAAGGGAGTCAGCACTAATTCTGGGAAGGTAGTGAAACATTGCCGTCTTTATACGACCAGGTAATGAAGCCAGGCCAGGGCGGTGGTCTTGCTAGGGGGACAGGTGCCATTCACAAGGAGGCTGCTGGTGCCTCAAGAGTCCCTTGCTGGATTCGCAGGCTCTGCATGGCAGCCACCTGAGAACACAGAGCATCTCAAGGGGTTTGAAGAGTTTGTGAGAATTGATTAAACATTTAAATTGGTGTTACATCCATTGATTAGATGTACATCAATTTACTCTCTTTATCCTTGGAATCTTTATCTCCCCAGTTAACACATACTACAAGCGTAGGCTACTAATTTCTTGATTACTCAGAGAAATTATCCAGTTGATAAATCGTATCTGTGAGAAATATAAAAGAGAAACAGATGAATAACAAAATTGATTATTCAGGATAACTAACATCTGTCCTCAAAAATAGTAGTTGAGATGCATGATGGGGTGTCCTTTAAATTAGTAGTCCCCAACCGTTTCAGCACCAGGGACTGGTTTCATGGAAGATAATTTTTCCATGGATGGGGTGGAGACAGGGATGGTTTCAGGATGATCCAAGTGCATTACATTTATTATGCACTTTATTTCTATTGTTATTACATTGTAATATATAATAAAATAATTCTACGACTCACCATAAAGTAGAATCAGTGGGAGCCCTGAGCTTGTTTTCCTGCAACTAGACAGCCCCATCTGGGGGTGATGGGAGACAGTGACAGATCATCAGGCCTTAGATTCTCATAAGAAGCTTACAACCCAGATCCTTCGCACACACAGTTCACGATAGGGTTCATGCTCCTGTGAGAATCTAATGCCATCACTGATCTGATAGGGGGCGAAGCTCAGATGGTAATGTGGGCCACGGAGAGCGGCTGTGAACACAGATGAAGTTTGGCTTGCTGGCCCGCCACTCACCTTCTGCTGTGAAGCCTGGTTTCTACCAGGCCATGGAATGCTACATGTCTGTAGGCCAGAGGTTAGGGATCCCTGCTTTAAATACTCATCAATGAGGTGTTTCAAAGAGAATTCGTCCCTGGAACTGTGTATTTGGTAACTAGCATAAGAAGACCTGCCGGTAGATTACAAGTTAATCCATAGCACAGCACAGAAGGAAGCCTTTAATTAGAGACAGAGATATATTCAGCCACCGGTGTTGATCTTATCGTTCTGGGGAAAGCTCGTGGCAGTCACAAAATGTTGAAGACCCTGAGGCTGATGTGATGTGTGGCCAGATCTGCAAAATTGAGAGAAAACTTGAATATTTATTTATTTATTTATTTATTCTGAATTATCCTCATTGGTTTTTAAAAATGCACAGGTTTACTTTGAAAGCATTATTTGGCTTCCAGGCCAAATAGGAAAAAGGGGGCATTTTTTAACCTTGGTTTGGGTTTGGGGGCTTAGAGACAGTTTCTCTTTTAAGATATACAAACCTCCAATATACCTGCAAATAAGTGAGACCAAAACATTGTTTCTTCCTGTGAGTTGAAAAAAAATCTGGTGGGTTTACAGTGGGAGGAAATGATTTCTGGCTGCATGTGATGTAGGAAATGTGAAGACTGCTTCTGTACCCCATAACTGCTATGATTAAATAATGGCCTTTCTCTGCTTGGTTTTAAGATTTGGAGGTGACTTGATGATTTCAGTGTAGAAAAACAGTGCATAGTCTAAAAATGCTTATGGGAAAGTGGAAAAAGGCGTAGAGAAAATAAGAACAGTCTTAGTCACTAGAGAATCTGTGCAAACACGAGCTGCTTGGGGCTTCTCAGAGATGGCTACTTTTGTATCAATCACAAGGCTCCATATGCTCAATTTGTCAGAAACTCACCCAATCCCAGACTCATGCACATATGCACATCCCAGTTTCAATGTTTTATTACTTTATTTCATGTTAAGTGATTATTCTGCACAAATTTTCTCAGGAAGTAATTGTACACAATTCTAGGAGTTAAAGGTAGACATAAATAAGAGTAAAATCCTTTGATCTACAAGTGTTAATTAATTGTGCATAACTAAGCATTATCATGTGAAGATGGATGGAAGTTTCGTAGACCAGACATTTTTCATGCAGCTGTGATCAGTGAGTTTCTCCAGTAGCAAAGACAAACAATTTGTGTATGCAAACCAGTACAGCTAACAATGTCTTAATTGTTGTTATTTAAAAGAGGAGCAATTAATTAGCATTCATATAGCATACTAGCTTTCACTTAGTTAATTGTATAGATCCAAATTCCAAAATAAAAACAATGTGTATATGGCTCTCATTTGCCAAATTCAACATAAGCTGAGAATTTGTAAATTGAGAAGCTTGTCAGAGGGAATTCCCCTCTGGTGGGAATAATTCCTCTCTCACTAGTTAGTTCTCCCATTAGAGACCTTGACTATGGTGTAGAAATCTTTTTTCTCCATTTCTGAAATAAAATAGGAGAACTTTAAACAATAAGATAAAAGTAACTATGAAGAAAAATCCAACACACAAAAAGGTAACAATGGAGCACAATTCGAAGTTCAAATTCCTGATCCGCATAACATCTGAGCTGAGTTTGAATTGCCTCCCTCACTTGCCAAACAACTGGTCCTGCATTCTTCTCAAGGCTCTGACTCCCAGCTCATCTGCCAAGAAGTCTCTGGCATGTCCAGAGCTCACGAATGCAGCTGTTGGGCTTGGATTACCCTCACTGCATGATTTTCCAGATAGTCCCTTGGTGGTACTTCCTTGAGGAATCCCCACGGGAGTGGGCAGACACTGCGGATTGGTTTCAACTGCCTTCTTGGAGTAGAGGCTGGAATATTAAAAATGACATCTCCTAGATTCCCTTGCAGTTGGAGTTTGGGATGTGATTTAGGTTCTGCGAGCAGAAACATTTGCTCAGAACTTGGATTTGAGGTGGGCAACACACCTCCTTTCCATTGAAACGGATCCTAGTGAGCCGGCTTGGCACAGGGACCCTTGTGTGCAGAGGCAGGTTCATCCCTCAAGCAGCATATTCCCCGTGCCTGATTGCGGCAAAAGCAACCACTCTCTTGTCTGCCAGAGACTGCAGTATAATTTGAACGTTATTCCTAAAAGCACAGCCCAGAGTTTGTTTCTGCAGCGTTCGCAATGATTCTGGAAGGTGTTTACTAGCCTGTGATAAGAATCTCTTCTTACGTAAACTAGCCAGAGTGAAGTCTGTTCTTTGCCAGTAAACTTTTACCCTAATTGGTGTGATTATTCTCAAGAAAATGGGCAATCTGGATTGTCAATCTTATCAGATTACGTGTGAAAGCAACAAGGATATTTTGCCTTCAGAATATGGGTTACCTGTTTTTAACTGTGCCAGAAAGCTTAATTTAAAATAATATGATGAGCTCAGGGTTGAGATTTTCTTTTAAAGAAACAGGCAGAGGACCACAGCACTTCCCTGCGTGTGCTCATGTCTTGTAGGCATGGGGCTGATGCAGCTGGCAATCAGGCATGGTCTGTCCTCATGGGCTGCTGAATTACAGCACAGGTTCTGCCTTTCCAGCCTTCCCATTCTCGTGTGTGTGTGTGTGTGTGTGTGAAAATAGGACAATTCTGGGAAAGAGAGGATTGGAAAGAGGATGTTTGGGCAGATTCAAACCCCAGAGAGGCTTTGTCAGCCACAGAAGCAAGCCCTCCTCCCCTAAGGCTTAATGCAAACATCTCACCTGGGTGATTTCTAACAGGGATCACGCTTCTCACACAGGACCATTCTCTCATGGCCTCCAGACTCTTGATTTCTCTATCCCTCGTAACTCCAGAGCCATATCCCAGCAAGGCTCAGGGGGTAAATACGGTCTTACCTGGGAGGAGAATGCTTACAGACTCAATGAATTACAAGATGTTGCCAATGAATACCAGCAGAAACCAGAGAAGCATAGGTGAGAATGAATTTTTAAGGTCATAAACCAGGAAGAAAGGAACGCAATTTTAGGTGAGGCTGAATTTCTCAAATTAGGGGCACTTACCAGAGATTCTGGATTCAATGTACCAGCTCAAATAAGAGAGAGTGATTCTAAACGTTTTCTGGGAAGGTTGGCTGAAGCTTGCCCTCAGGAAGTAGCTGACCAGACTCAAGGACTCTGAGACTCCAGAGTGCCTCACGTTAAGGCAGAAGAGGGGACTAAAAGACTTCAGGAGCTGGGAGGACTTGAGTGGATCCTTCACACGGAAATTGCTCACTCACCTATATTAGGTCCGGATTGCTGCTGTAACAAAGTCACAAATGTAGTGGCTTAAGACAACACACATTTACTATGTGTCAGTTCTGGAGGTCAGAAGTCCTAAAATCAAGGTGTGGTCTGGGCTGTGTTCCTCCTGGGTACCCTGGGTTGCGGGAGTGGGGGAGCATCTATATCTATTTCTTGCCTTTTCCTGCTTTCTTTGACTCGTGTTGCCTTCCCCACCTTCAAAGCCAGCAGCATAGCATCTTCAAGTCCCTTTCTGTCTCTCTCTCTCCCATCTCTGCTCATCCCACTACATCTTCTTCTCTAACTCCAAAGCCCACTTCCTTCTTGTACATTGGGTCCACCCCAGTCATCCAGGATAATCACCCTATCTTTGCCCCAGTCATCCAGGATAATCACCCTATCTCCAGCGCCTTAACTTGATCACACCTGCAAAGACCCTTTTGCCATAAAAAATACATATCCACGGGTTCCGGGATTACAATAACATCTTTGGGGGACAATTATTTTTTTTCTATGACACCCTCTAATGATGTCCCCTAAGAGAGGCCAGATGGTTACTCCTTCATTAAGAGGTGGAGAAATCGGCCAACAAGGGGAAGGGGAGGGTCTTTACAGAGTGCTGAGGGGTGGGCCTCTGCACTGACGGGCAGAGGTGGGAATACTGTAGCTCAGAAGGGTCCTGAAGTCCCAGGGTGGCAGAGCTAGAGACAGAACCAAAGCGAGCATGGCGACCAGGAGTTTTGTTTTTGTTTTTGTTTCTTGAGATGGAGTCTCGCTCTGTCGCCCAGGCTGGAGTGGAGTGGCGCAATCTTGGCTCGCTGCAAGCTCCGCCTCCCAGGTTCACGCCATTCTCCTGTCTCAGCCTCCCAAGCAGCTGGGACTACAGGCGCCCGCCACCACACCTGGCAATTTTTTGTATTTTTAGTGGAGACGGGGTTTCACCATGTTAGCCAGGATGGTCTCGATCTCATGATCTCGTGATCCACCCGCCTCAGCCTCCCAAAGTGCTGGGATTACAGGCGTGAGCCACCGCGCCCGGCTGGTGACCAGAAGTTTCTGAGGAACCAAAAAGTTTCTTGGGCAACAGCCTATTTGCAGAGATGAGCATAAGGTACATAGATATGACCTAGATCTCAGAAATACGCTCAAGAGACAAAACTACCCTTGGCTGTTGGGAGAGAGAGAGGCAAAGTTCTGTTAGACTTGTTTCCCAGCCTATATTCCATGAGTGCTCAGAAGAAAAGGGATTGAAAATAAACAACAATGATCAAAATCAGCAACCAAAATAAGGCAAGAATGACTTTGAGAGGTTTCCTTCTTTGCTTTGGCTTTTTTACTTTTGGGAAATGGAACAAAGTCTAGGATTTTTGGGAAAAGTATTAAAGAAGCATTGGTGCTCCAGACTTGGAGGCTGGCTATGGTGGTCAAAGGCAGCACAGCACCAGTGCCGTGGCCTCTGTGTCCTTGTGGTGACATGGTTGGGTGTAGGGGCATGATCAGTGGCAGTTACAGGAGAAGACAAAATACCCTCCAAAGACTTATAGGAATAGGTATGGGGGATGCATATTTTTAGGAGGACAGAGATTATGCAAAAAAGGGAAAATATTATCTTCAGAAAAATGCTGATACTATTAACTAACATTTATCACTTTTTATGTGCCAGCCTTGTGCTCAGCACTTTACATGCATTTTATTTATTTATTTACTCTTTTTTGAGACGGAGTCTCGCTCTGCCACCCAGGCTGGGGTGCTGTGGCGAAATCTCTCTCGGCTCACTGCAAGCTCCACCTCCTGGGTTTCATGCCGTTCTCCTGCCTCAGCCTCCCGAGTAGCTGGGACTACAGGCGCCCGCCACCACGCCCGGCTAATTTTTTGTATTTTTAGTAGAGACAGGGTTTCACCGTGTTAGCCGGGATGGGCTCTATCTCCTGACCTGGTGTTCCGCCCACCTTAGTCTCCCAAAGTGCTGGGATTACAGGCGTGAGCCACCGTGCCCACCCTACATGCATTTTATAACTTCATCATTTTCTCAACTTGTGGGGAGGAGGTAAGGGAGGCTTAGGAAAGTTAGGTAATCTGCGTGGTTATCTTTAGGTGGGAAGTGGGGGTGCAGAGACCACCACAGGGTCCTTCCGTACAAAGTTTGGCAACTTCACGGCAGGCCACCCTAGAAATGTGCCGCATGGGTACTCTGTGACTTGTAAGGCTTCTGAAAACCAACTTATACTCCACGTGGAAACTGAGGCTTGCTAAGGTGAAATAACTTACCAGAGGTCACATGGGTTCTTATTTCAGAACTGGGACAAGAATCTAGGTTTCTGACTTCCAGCCCAGCGTTGTTTTGGTGACAATATACTGTCTGATTGTAGAATCACTCAAGAGGGGAGCAAAGCTCAGGAAATGAGATCAGCCCAGTCTCCATGTGATGAAGCAGATCACAGATCCTCCCCGGATACACGTTTACCCCAAGATGAGAGCAGGCTAAGAGCTGAGAGTGGTATGCCCCTTCATGCCCTCCCACCAGCCTCACATACCACACAGAGCACATTTCTGACTAGCTTCTGTCACATTTGACACCCACCCTGGGGACCTGAGAGTCACCCAAGGGAATGAATGAAGCAGAGCTACAAATATTCAAATGGGTAAATTTCACAATGTAATATTGAGAAGACACTCGTAAGTTAAGGTGAGTGTGTACAACATGATAAAACATACATAAAGTTTAAGAAATGTTAAACAAGGCTCTACATTTTTGAGGATATATGCATATATAGCTTAAGTATAAAAAATGTGGAGTAATGCTAATCTTCAAATTCAGGGAGTGGCTTCTTGGGTGGAAGTTGGGGGTGGCGAGTGGAAGCACAGAAGGGTGAGGGGTATAGGATGACACCACCTTGAACTCATGATGAAGAGCTTGGCTCTTTCCCGGCAGTTTTATTCAATGCTCCAAAGGCCATTTTCGGTGTTGGGAGCAGTAGGGGTAGGGAGAGGGGTGGAAAATCTTGGCCTTGGCCCAGCTATGTCTAGATAAACTGGAAATTTGCCCTGACAGCTCTTTTCCTCTATTGTGCAAGGCAGGGCCAAGTGATGTCATTGGGACATGCAGATGTCTCTGTCCTCTTCTTTGACTAGTGCCAAGAAAAATGATCTTTGCAATGAACTGATGCTCCTTCCCCCAACTCAGATTCAGCTGTCTTATCATTTCTAAACCTGTGGCCACAGGCTAGATCCCTGGAAACTCAAGAAATGCTTTCCTTGAGGGAAATCATGCCCTGCTGCTTTCTGCTTTAAAACAGAGTGCTGGCTTATCTCCAGGATAGTGGAAAAGCTGTTGGCATCTCAGTTATGTTACAAGGGGCACACACAAAAAGCAAATTAATTGCTTCCTTCCTACCTTCTTTTATTCATTTATGTATTCATTCATTTAAGGAAAGAATATTGATTGAACATCTACTCAAGAACTGCAAAACAGAGATTACCTGACCTAAAGGTAAGTATTGGCAACAGAGGAGACAAACTTGGGAGCAGGCAGCTATAGCACAACACGGTGCAGCCATACCTAGGAGAGGGAGACGGGAGTCCCAGGAAGGATCACCTAACACAGCCTGGAGAAGAGCTGAGAGGGGAAAGCCTTAGAAAAAGGGCCACATGAGATAAGTCTTTAACAGTAAGTGGGAGTTAACCAGATGGAAAATGGGCAGCAGCAATTTTGGACAGAGCAGCAGGTGGAAAGTCAAGGGGCCATGAGAAAGCAGGATGCTTGTGGGAACTGCTGGAGACGGATGGTGGTGAGTGGATGGGATTCTAATCAGGACCATGTTTGTCCTCAATTTCTCCAGGGTGGCATGCACACAACAGCAAAAATGCCTATGTATTCCACGCTGGGCACTGTACTAGGAGTTTCACACATATGATCACATTTCATCTTCATTTTACAACCAAGGAAGTGGTCTAGGCTAGACTTGACCCTGAGTTGCCATCTCCTTGTATTTGCCCTTGACACTGTTACTACATGGAATTATAAGATCCACTCTGCTTACCACACATCTGTTGTGATGGTCAAATGATGCAAAGTATGTGAAAGCACTCACAGAACTACAAAATGCTTCATGTATAAAGTCTTGTTTCAACAATACAGGTCTTTTAGTGGAAAACTAGAATTAATAATGCTGTACTGATAATTTCCACTGTATTTCTAGTTGGTGTGAGGTCAGGGATCTGAGGTAGCAGAGAAAGGAGGGAGGCAATTTACACTCGGGGAATATATTTTTAAATGTCCCCTTGCACAAAAGTCATTTAGTTATGTGCAAGATCATCTTTAGCAGATTTATTAATTTGTGATCTTTATTTTGGGAAATTCAAATTATAGTGAATTCCCACCCATGCTTATTATGTAGCAGAAATCGTGCATGTCATCAAGGGCAGGGGAGGGAATCTCAGGGACTGGGAAGGGTGATTGGACATAGTACCTTCTAAACTCATATTAATAAAATAAAGTTATCAAATGAAGCCCAGGGTTGGGAAGGACTTATATGTGGAAATTCTTTTAGCATAATATGGCTCAGAACTTAGACTATGAGTAAGACTAGCTACACCATTTGCAGAGTCTAGTCCAAAATAAACATGCAGGATCTCTTAATCAGAAATCGATGAATTTCATGATGGCAACAGCAGAACCTCATGTCAAGTGTGTTGCCCTTCTGGGCACAGGGCTCTTTGTGACTACATGGGTTGCATGCCCATGATGCTGGCCCCTACTATAAGTTAGGAATCTTCCATGTTATCTGGTGAAAGGTATTGGCTGAGACTTATCCTTGCAGTGAAAAATGACTTGTTTGAGGACACTTGGGAACAGCTAGTGAAAAACATGAACACAGAAAAGAGGAAATTCTAAGTCAATTTGAAAGACACTGTTTCCTTATTCCTCTCTTCCACTTTCAAGTCCCAAACATCCCCTTTCTTCTACTGAATACACATGTTACCTGCCTGTTGTTGATCTATTCAAATGACACATGACTTTTATTGGAATTTCTTCCTGTTGGTAAAACTAGACCACTGCTACTGCAACAGAAGCTCATCCTTTTTGCTGAGTTTTCAGGGGAAATCAAACAGCTGTGTATCCTGTGCTTGGCCTTCAAAGTATTCATAATCTGAACTACTTTTACCTATTTTCCAGTTCTTCCAAATACCCATTTTCTGTTTTTATTTTCCAGATGACTATGATCCTGTTTCTTGAAATGTTTCTTTTTTTAACTAAAAAAGTTTTTAAATGCATCTCAGGTCTGGGTGCACCATGGTTACAATTAGGCCAAGAAAAATATTCTCTCCACTAGGTTTTTTAAATGTTCACCTCCACTTCTTGACTTAACACTTGCCCAAAACAAAACGGATCTCTTTTGCAGATGAATATGGTACCCCTGACAACACAGTGGGTTGGTTCAGTAGCATCCATTCAACATATATTTATTCAGCATTACGAAATATCAGGTGCTATGATGGATGTTATATATAAAGTGATAAACAAGGTAAATATTGGGCTCATATTCTATTGATGGAGACAGACATAAAAAATTGTCACATGAATAAACATACAATGAATATATAAATACAATGATGGAAAAGAAAAATTGTTATACGCAAGAGTCAGTTGCTTCTTTAATTGCATGGTTAAGGATGCCCGCTCTGTGGAAGAGATAGTTTAACTGAGACTTGAAGATGAGAAGGAGCCAGTCAGGCAAAGAACTGGTATGGATATGGGGTAGAGAGTGGTCCAGGTGAAATGTGATAATCCTAAGGCCAGAAATCATTTTGGGGATTTGGGGATCTGAAAGAATGTTAAAATGGTCAACATACTGTGAGTTAGGGATTGAGGCTAGAGAGGCAGGTAGGGTCCAGAGCATTCAGGCAGAAACAACAGGAAGTGTGGGTGCTGAGTAATCAAAAGGATGGACTGAGCTGGTTACTAAGTTACTGCTTCTCAGCTTCAAAGCTGTCCTTCCACACCCATTTCTTCTGGATGCTGAGATGGAGACTCTATATCACAAAATTTCTGCATTATCAGCTGCCAACCTGCTAAGCTCTGCTGAAGGAAGACACTAAGGGACACTGAAAGGCTAGAGGCATCATAGGAAGAGACCTGCTCTTTCCTTTTTGCTTCCAGTTCCTGTTGGCAAGGTTCTAGCAAAGATGATACTAATACACCTTGGCAGTGACAGTAGATTTCAGTTTGCACGTTTCCTAATATTGCTAGGTTCAGCTTCACTCCCATTCCAAACCCATCCTGAGACAGGAGCAACGGCTGGCTGGAGAGTCCTCCTTAGAGGTCTAAGTCCTGCTTTATGGAATATTTCCTCCAGGTGTCTCATAATCCCAAGCTCTTAATAACTCCAACCTTATCTCTGTGTTCCCCCAGACCTAAGGCAGATAGTTTTTCACCGCATTTAATAGTTTTGTGATATCTTAATGTTTTCTTTTTGTCTTTTTGCATTCTCTAACATCTGGTTGAAATTATTTATATTAAATTCATTTTGTTAAAATAACTAGTGAGATTTCTGTCTTTTGACTAGATCCCAATTGATACAGATGATGTTAGGAAATGGAGACAAGTGATTTTCAAGTTTCTAGCTAAGTTGGGTGGATGAAATGCCATTTTCATGGGAAGACTTGAATAAGAATATTTTGCTATCTTAGATAAGCAAAAGTTTAGTTTTGGACATGTAAGGTATGAAATGCCTTAAATGAGACATTTAAATGGAGATGCAGCAGAAGCAGTCAGATAGACAAATTTAGAGCTCAGGGATATGGCTGCAACAAGTAGGTGAAACTACACAGGAGATGGAAAGATTGGAAAAAACCCAGAAAAGTTTTGTGGTCTGGAAGCCACGAGAAGAATGTTTCAAGAAGAGGATGTGTGGTGCTGCATAAAAATAGACATATAAATCAATAGAAGAGAATTGAGAACACAGAAATAACCCCTCACATTTATGGTCAATTGATTTTTAGCAAGGTTGCCGAAACAATCAACAGAATAGAATTTTTTTTAACAAATGGTGCATGAACAACTGGATATCTACATGCAAAAGAAAACAGCTGGACCCTTCCTCACATAATATGCAATTATTAACTCAAAATGGACCAAACACCTAAATGTGAGAGTTAAAACTGTAAAAATCTTAGAAGAAAACATAGGGGTAAATCTTTGAGACTCTGGATTAGGCAATGTTTTATTAAATACAATGCCAAATGCACAAACAACAAAAGGAAAAAAAATGGAACTTCAAAAATGAAAACATGTGCTTCAAAAGATATCATCAAGAAAGTGGAAAAACAACCAAGAGACTTGAAGAATATATTTGCAAATCATATATCTGATAAAGGACTTGTGTCTAGAATATATAAATAACACAACTCACTAATTAAAAAAAAAACACCAAGTCAACCATTTAAAAAAATGGGCAAAAGATCTAAATACACATTTTCCAACGTAGATATAAAAATAACCTGTACATACATGAAAGGATGTTCAACCTCATTAGTCATCAGAAAAATGCCAGTGAAAACCACAACCACTTCACACCCACTAGGATGGCTGTAATTTTTTTTAAAAAAAACAGATATAATAAGTGTTGATGAGAATGCAGAGAAATTAGAACTTTTATTCATTGCTGATGGGAATGTAAGAATGGTTTAGTCACTTTGAAAAACAGTCTGGCAGTTCCTCAAAAGGTTAAACACAGAGTTAACATATGACCCAGCACTTCTACTCATAGGCATATACCCAAAAGAAATGAAACATATGTCCACACAACGACTTGTACATGAATGACCACAGCAGCATTGTTCATAATAGCTAAAAGCTGGAAATAACCCAAATGCCCGCCATGTGATTAATAGATAAGCAAAATGTGGTAGATCTATACAGTGAAATATTATTTGGCAATAAAAAGGAATGGAATACTGATATATACTACAACATGGCTGAACTTTGCAAACATACTCTGTGAAAGAAGCCAGTCATAAAAGATCACATGATATATAATTCAATTTATATGAAATATCCAGAATAGATAAATCTCTAGAGACAGAAAGTGGATTACTGGTTTCTTAGGGCTGGAAGGAGGGCTGGGGGGATTAGAGAGTGATGGGTAGTGGGTACAGGTTTCTTTCTGGGGTGATGAAATATTCCAAAACAGATTGTGTTAAAAACCACCACATTGTATACTTTAAATGAATTATTTGCATGGTATGTAAATTATATCTCAATAAAGTTGTTACAATGAATACATATTCTTGTAGCAAAAAATAAAAGATGAGATAGTGAAATGCACAAAATGCTACTAAAAGGTGGTGTAAAATCAGGATACAAATATCCAACATATTTGGTAACACGCAAGAGAGCGGTCACTTTGATAAGAGCTGGTAGAGCAGGCTTACCTGAAAAGCCTCTAAGAATTTCCAGGCCATGAAGAGTGTTTATTGGAGATTTATCAACATGAGTTCAAAATGAGACCAATCTGTGAACTAGAGCAGACCCCAAATATTGGTCTGGGTGAAAAAATCGACAAAAATAAGGACTTGGGCTTGCCTAATGTTGCTTTCACTAGGTTTTACCATGTACTTAGCAAGAAAGTAAAGGAGACATTTAAAATATGAACATTTTGTAATGGGGTAAGGGATCATTGTTCTCTGATCCCTTACCTGTTCCTGCTATAGATGAATCCAGGATTCGGTGGTGCCTGTTCCAGGAACCTTTAGTGTGAAGGATCCTCCAGGTGAGAGAAGCCTTTATGTCTTCTGAAATGGTTCTGCTGTGTCCCCACCCAAATCTTGTATTGAAGCTCCCATAATTCCCGCGTGCTGTGGGAGGGACCCAGTGGGAGATAATTGAATCATGGAGGCAGTTTCCCCCATACTGTTCTTGTGGTAGTGAATAAATCTCACCAGATCTGATGATTTTATAAGAGGTTTCCCCTTTCACTTGGCTCTCTCATTCTCTCTTGCCTGCCGCCATATAAGATGTGCCTTTTGCCTTCCACCATGATTGTGAGGCCTCCCCAGCCACACAGAACTGTGAGTCCATTAAACCTCTTTTTCTTTATACATCAGCCAGTCTTGGGTATGTCTTTATCAGCAGCATGAAAACAGACTAATCCACCTTCTTTGGGCTTGATGGGTGGGGATAGGGAGAGGTGGAGATAACCTGCCTCACTGAGACCTATCATCTGGGTTCTAAGTGCATAATTCCTTGCTGGCCCCAGATACTGAACCAAGTTCTCCTGTGTTTAATTTCTTGCCTTTCCTTCGTGTCTACTCGAAGTTTCATGGCATCAGACGAATCTCTGCCCCAGCGGGGTCATATGAATTTCTTCTGAAACACTCAAATGCATAGGGCAATGAGAGAGTGGAGCATCAGCAGGCTGACATCTGTTCTTTAAGAACTCTTTAGCAGAAATAGTCAGACATAAATGTGCATGCTCATTTAAGCTACGCTCTAGGACACAGTTTCTCTAATGGCATCTTGTGAGATGTCACTGGTGATTCTGCAAGGGAGTGTGAATGAAAAAGTAAACCCTAATTAAAAAAATTTTTTTTGCAGTAGGTTACTGGGGGTACAGGTGATGTTTGGTTACAGTTCTTTAGTGGTGATTTGTGAGATTTTGATGCACCCATCACCCGAGCAGTATACACTGCACCCTATTTGCAGTCTTTTATCCCTTGACCCCTCCCACCCTTTCCCCCAAGTCTCCAAAGTCCATTGTATCATCCTTATGCCTTTGTGTCCTCACAGCTTAGCTACCACATATCAGTGAGAACATACAATGTTTGCTTTTCCATTCCTGAGTTACTTCACTTAGAATAATAGTCTCCAATCTCATCTGGGTCACTGCAAATGCCGTTCATTCATTCCTTTTTATGGCTGAGAAGTATTCCATTGTATATTTCTACCACAGTTTCTTTATCCACTTGTTGATTAATAGGCATTTGGGTTGGTTCCACAATTTTGTGATTGTGAATTGTGCTGCTATAAATCTGCAAGTATCTTTCTCGTATAATGACTTTTCGTATGAATCTGCAAGTATCTTTTTCTTATAATGACTTCTTTTCCTCTGGGTAGATGCCCAGTAATGCGATTGCTGGATCAAATGGTAGTTCCATTTTAGTTCTTTAAGGAATCTCCACAGTGTTTTCTATAGTGGCCATACTAGTTTACATTCCCACCAGCAATTAGAAGTGTTCCCTGATCACTGCATCCACGCCAACATCTACTGTTTTTTGATTTTTTGATTATGGCCATTCTTGCAGGAGTAAGTTGGTATCACATTACGGATAAACCCCAGTTTTTGAACTTCACATACTGCACAATGCTGGTGATGTAGCAGCCCTGTTGGGATTTTGTTAGGGATCCTTAATCCTTGTTGTGTTGCTGTGAACAGGACTGTGTTTATTTGCAGGAGTCCATTCTCAATTTTCTGTGCAAATTGGGGAAGGCTGTTGATAATCGGTGGATGCTATAGTGCCCATGGAAAGACTCTAGTCTGAAGATACCAGTCTCTCCCTCCCAAGATCACCTCCCCTGACCAACCTTCTGCACTCCTGACAGATACAAGGGAGCAAGCAAGTTGCACCCAACCTAATAGTAAATTGCAGGGACATTTCCATTCTAAGGAAGGAATTTTTGTGTGTGTTGCAACTCAGCTTCTGCTCTGGCATTTTGCTGTGGTAAGCATTGCAAGGCAAGGTTTATATAGGTTAGAAGAGAATTTTATTGTGACATTTTCTTTTTTTTTTTTTTTTGCAATTTCTGTTCAAGTATTTATTATGCCCTCTGTGTTATCATTTATTAGCATTTATATTGCCAATCATGTTGGAGAGTCCATGTGGTGATTTCTGAAAACGAGATGTGAGAAAGAAGAGGATAATTTAAGTCTAGACCTACAGATTGTGCTGATAAAGTGATGAAGAACTACAATCTTCTTAGTCATTTCATTGTATAAGTGCAATAAAGGGTATGTAATAAATTTGTATGTTCATATTTACAACGGAAACTGCTTATCAATGAATTTCACGGGGCATTTGTGTCTTGCCAGATTTTGTGTCTTTCCTGGCAAACAACTTGTGACCACAGTGATGGCTCCAGCAGAATGGAAAAGACCCTTTACCTCACATCTCAGAAGTAAAGATGCTGATTATTTGACATCGCCATTGGAATCTCAAAACAGTGTAAAGCATTTGCTAAAAAGAGTCACTTTCTGAGAAATGACTCAGAATTCGACTTACGTACTAGCAGAACTTATTGCCCATAAAAGGAAAGGCCACACTTTTTGTGAAAACTTAATAATCCCTAGGATGTAAAATTATACTGAGTTAAATCCTAGTCCCATTTTTAGTACAAGAAACTGGAAAAAAATAATCCACTCTCAAATGGTAAGACAAATTGAGATATTGCTGAAAAGCCTCTTGACCCTGAAAAGTTCTGAATAATAAACTGATAAAAGCAGCAGCAGCATCTAACTTGACACCAGTCATGTCATTTGTAAGTAAGGTTGGTAAATAGTAATGAAATTCAAGCAATATTTTCAGCTATGAAGAGCTGCTCAAACCAAGCAAAGGCCAAGATCTACTTTAAATTTTGTCTACGTATCTTTAAACAAGGCATCTGTCTTGGGGGCATTGTGTTAGCATCTGTACCGGTAACACCTCATCCAGGGTTGGCTTGATAAGAGGCTTCACATTTTTTGTAGAATAAGAAAAAAACCTGGCATTGTCACAACACACTGATTTGTTCATGCAGTAGTGCTTGGGGTCAAAAACTCTTGGAATGACCAGGCAGAGTGGCTCACACCTGTAATCTCTGCACTTTGGGAGGTCAAGGTGGGCGGATCACTTGAGGTAAGGAGTTCAAGACCAGCCTGGCCAATAGGGTGAAACCCCATCTCTCTTTTTTTTTTAAATTATACTTTAAGTTCTAGGGTACATGTGCACAATGTGCAGGTTTGTTACATATGTATACATGTGCCATGTTGGTGTGCTGCACCCATTAACTCGTCATTTACATTAGATATATCTTCTAATGTTATCCCTTCCCCCTCCCTCACGCTGCGACAGGCCCCGGTGTGTGATGTTCCCCTTCCTGTGTCCAGGTGTTCTCTTTGTTCAATTCCCACCTATGAGTGAGAACATGCAGTGTTTGGTTTTCTGTCCTTGCAATAGTTTGCTCAGAATTTTTTAAACCCCATCTCTACTAAAAATACAAAAATTAGACAGGTGTGGTGGCGGGCACCTATAGTCCCAGGTACTTGGGAGGCTGAGGCACTAGAATCACTTGAACCAAGGAGGCGGAGGTTGGGGTGAGTTGAGATTTCGCCACTGCACTCCAGCCTGGACAACAGAGTGAGACTCTGTCTCAAAAAAAAAAAATAAAGAAAAGAAAGTAACAAAAGGTTTGAATGCTCCTGCAAATACAGTCAAACAGGGATAAGTTCAACTGAGATTTTTAAAATTTTGTGAAAAGTCAGATAAAGAGACATCATCTTCTCCTCCAAACAGAAATGTCATGACTGTGCTTGAGGGATACTTTCAAGATGACACAAAACCAGGTTTTTGGAGTGCTTTGAAGATGGAGAATGGCTTATTAACACTAGTCACATTGGCAGATGTTTTTCATAACATCAACCAGTTGAATAAGCCTCTGCACAGCCCTGGAGAAAATGTTTTCACCAAAAATGTCAAGAGTTTTTGGATTTAAAAGAAAACTAAAGTTTTGGAAAAAACCATGAGGCAAAAGAAATCCTTGAGATGTTTCCATTGTTGCTTGGGCCTGGGGCCATCAGTAAGTCTCAATTCTTATTGAGCAGAACCTGGCAGCACTGTAGAATGAAACTGAACCATACCTACCCTCTCTTTAAACACAAGTGCATGACCAGGCGAGGGAGCGTTTCGTTGAATCTTTGACTCAGTCTGAGAACAGAGTCTGGAGAGAAGAGGAAGAATCCTGCACCCCATGCAACCCCAGACTCTCTAGATGGGACTCACATATCACTCTGGAGGCGAGTCCTGGGTTTCTGGGTAAGAGAGTGCTCTGTCAGCCTCAGGGAAACCATGAACACTTCACTGCAGTTGCAACTTCCCGCACATAGGAACAAATTTTCTGTTATTTAATAAACACCAAGAGCAAGGGAAAAAGTTGTAGCCCTTCAGTTGACAATGACATCTGTGTGTACCTCAAGTTTGACTCAGAATTGAATTTTTAGGCAGCACATGTGTCACATTAAAGAAGGTCAAGTTGATCACCAATGACCAATGGTTTAATCAGTCACGGCTTCGTAAAAACTAAAAAGGACAGAATTCAGAGGGCTTGCAGTTAGTGGAACACGTGGAGGGCCCTGGAGGGTGTCATGCCCAGGACATGATAGCTCTGTACCCCATCCCATGTATCTCACCATATGCATCTCTTCATCTGTGTCCTTTGCAACATTCTTTAGAATAAACCAGTAAATGTGTTTCCCTGAGTCCTGTGGGCTGCTCTTGCAAATTAATCAAACCCAGGGAGAGTCGTGGAAACCCTGACTTGATGCCAGTTGGTCAGAGTTCAGGAGGCTTGGACTTGCAACTAGGAGGAAGGAGGGGGTTGGGGACTGAGCCTACAACCAATGGGATTGGTCACTATCTCCAGGTAGATAGAGTTGGAATTCAGTTGGAGGACACCCAGCTGGTGTCCACTGCTTGGTGGTGAGAAGAAACTCCCACACCTTTGGTCACAGAAGTCTTCTGTGTTTATTGTTCTAGTGTGAGAACAGAGGAGAAGCCTGGTTTGAGTGAGTTTTTCCTGAAGCAAAAGGGAAGAGCTTAATTTCAAAAGGTAAGTTAGTTATATTTTTCTCTAGGAAACAATTGATTGCTTAAAAAGATATGATTAGGCCGGGGGCAGTGGCTCATATCTGTAATCCCAGCACTTTGGGAGGCCAAGGCGGGCGGAACACCTCAAGTCAGGAGTTTGAGACCAGCCTGGCTAGCATGGCGAAACCCCGCCTCTACTAAAAATACAAAAATTAGCTGGGCATGGTGGTGGGCGCCTGTAATCCCAGCTACTCGGGGGGCTGAGGCAGGAGAATCGCTTGAACCCAGGAGGCGGAGGTTGCAGTGAGTTGAGATCATGCCACTGCACTCCAGCTTGGGCAACAGAGCGAGACTCCATCTCAAAAAAAAAAAAGATATGATTAGTTTTAAACAAGGGAAACAAATTCCACTTGCATGTACTATGTGTCACACATCTTTAGCCTTTTGTATCCTGAACATCATTTAAAACTTCCCTCCAGATTAGAAAGTTGAAGTCTGCTCATGGGGCCTTCAGTTGCTGTCTTAGAAATTCACTCTCAGGGTGTCAGAAAGTCCATCCTCCATAGGCATTTACAACAAGGAATTTGATTCCTTCTATCCCTGGTCAACTCCAGGCTTTTTAAAAAAGTAGCTTAATAAATATTAAGAGTGCATTTTTCTTTGTGAAGTTTGACACTCATTAATTAACACAATTGTTGGAAATGGGAATTTTTTTTTTTTTTTTTTTGATGGAGTCTCACTCTGTCACCCAGGCTGGAGTTCAGTGGCATGATCTTGGCTCACTGCAACCTCTGCCTCCTGGGTTCAAGCGATTCTCCTGCCTCAGCCTCCTGAGTAGCTGGGACTACAGGCGCGCACCACCATGCCTAGCTAATTTTTGTATTTTTAGTAGAGGCGGGGTTTCACCATGTTAATCAGGCTGGTCTCGAACTGCTGACCTCGTGATCTACCCTCCTCGGCCTCCCAAAGTGCTGAGATTACAAAGATTAGTGGTAGTAAAGCGGTATGGGTGGCCTAAAATATTTTAGAGACATTACTTACACTTAGAATAGCAAATTACATCCCTATCTGGGCCTGTGTTTAGAATGAGTCAGACGGTTTTTTGTTGCCTGGTGACAGGCGTTGGGGTCACAGAGTCCTCTTTCTGCGATGTTGTGTATGACCCAGAGAGTCTCTGGCAAGATGTGGACAGATCTCTAAAAGGTCGGGGAGCTCAGTCTCCACGAAGCTTGCAGAACCCTCCCCATCTGCCTGCTAATAAACGATTACGTATAAAAATGTCTAAATACGTGGTGGTGTTGAATCTGTGACTTGGTTTTATTATAACCAGGTGGCAGGAAAGTAGCCAACCCTCACTCACATAGAACTTTCCACACTACTGTTTTCTCTTCCAAAATAACCAAGAATTTTTCATGGTCAAGTACAAGTGGAAATGGCTGTCGGTTTGCAACAGCCAGGTTTACCAATGGATAGTGTTTTGCCAGGGGGTGGGACCTAGAATGAAAGGGGCAAGAGATCTGAAGGATGGGCAATGGGAGTGGTTGCACTATGGATCTGTAGAATATTCATCCTCCTAAACTGAATTAGGAGGAATGTAGTCATGGGGGTGGTTAAATGATGAGAAAATATGATGGAGTCTACTGATTGACATGAAGGAAGAATTTTTGCCATGTTCTTTTTAATGTTTTTCTTTTTCTCCTCTAAAAATAAGATTTCAGTAGTGTGACCACAAATTAAACCTTAATGACACCCTAAGTAAAGAAGAGACTGGCCCCTCAGGGAATCCTTTATTATTTAGTATGGTAACTTGCTTCTTGATTTTACAAATATGAATTCTCTTGAAGAGAAATTTTGATCTAAGGCCAACTTTTCCCTTAATGGTTCCTTTGTGTCCATGAAGAGATGGTAAATGCATACAAAGTTATTAGCAGCACTTTTCATAAAATAAAATTTAACACAGAAATTTGCTGCAAAATTAACTGCCAAAAGTTTTATATAGAAATGAATTTCGGGTTAACCACTATTTTATTTTACATTGAACATGGAAATTCACAGAACTTATTGACTTTATTATTCCACTATGTTCTTTCAACATAATTTGCTAGTCTATTAAACTCTTGCCCAGGAAAATAAACCTGAAAATAACCTTATTGCTCATTTCAGGAATATCTTGAAAGACGCATCAACTCACCATTAGAAAACATGAAACGACAGATTATATCCTAAGATTGTGTGAACCTCTTACCTGGAAACCCGTACAATTGCTTTATCTACCAATCCTAAACTATTATATCTTGATCTTTACTCAATCCTAATTACACACCCACATTGAAAGACCTATCTTAATTCAGACTTCAAAATCTTACAAACGTCCAAGTCCCTCCTTTGAAATGCTACTAAGACTGCAGTAAGAATACATGTAAGTATAAACATATCTATATTAGCTTTTTTTAAAACAACAGTGTCATTATCCTTTTTGTGAAACCATATGCTAACATTTATTGAGCATTAATAAGCACTGGGGCTGAGCACCTTCTCACACTGAGTTCTCAAGACAACAGTGTATGAAAGGTACTATTATTATTCCCACTTTACAGAATGGGAAAATGAGGCTTAAAAACATTAAATGCAGTAATTTCCCTATGGTTGCACAAGTAGGAAGGAGAGGGGGCCAGGAGCCCTGGTCGTTTACCCTCAGAGTCCACCTTTTGAACCAATGTTAATCTTCTTTCCAATTCTTTTAGATAAGAATGGTTCTTAATCATGTGCTGCATGTTTCACTGAGTTTTCTTCTTATCTCCTCTTCTAATCGAAACCAGAAGACCCAATATAATATCTAGTGTTCTCACCCAGCCCACATGCTCAATGCTGTAAAGCTGAAAATGGATCCAATGCTGTCGCAGAGAGGCAGAGAGTGAATTCCCAAGAGTTATGAGTCATCCATTCCCCTTTCAGAGCATGCAGTGACTGAGAGGAAGAGAGATACTAACACTTGAAGTAATCCAGTCTATCAATAGGAGATGGACTGCTTTGATTTAAAGCGATTTACAAAAGGATTTGGATACCTCATCTCTCCTGTTTCGCCAAGGTCTTGACTCATCGCTGCAGGTTGTATAATTAGTCTCATTAATCTAGCAAATGATGGCAAAATGCTTGGTAATGATGTCTAACTGGGGTTCCTTTCCAAGGAACCTTTGTTGTTTAATTAGGAGATAATGGATGAGCTTGTAGAGAGACCAGGGTTATAAAAGGCAGTAGCATGTCAATGTGCCCATGCCTAGTTCAATACAATGGTTTTTAAGCCAAGTATTCAAATAAATTGACATTATGTAGGTACATGAATTTAAAAGGGGTCATTATTCACTAACTATATTTTAACATATGCTTAGAGCAACCCATTACTGCTGGGGATAATAAACGGTGCCCAGATGAACAACCACATTGCATACAAAGGATGGTGTCTGAGATCACTACTGGGCCCGACTTAGCCACCATCTTTCCAAATAGAATCATAGGTTTGGAAATTTATCCCTTCTATGGATGAAGCACCAAACTATTAAACTGCAAAACCATTCTGTATTTATTCTTTCCAGCTGCAGTTCCCTTGACAATAAATGAAGAGTTTGTCCTCTGATTATGTTTGATTTGTTCTCTTATTTACCCCAAAAGATTATATTAAAATTTATATTTCAGTTTGGATGGTTTCAGTTGTAAGTAACCAAAAAGCAAACTCAGACTGTCTTAAACAAAAAGGGAGATCTAGCGGCTAGAGGCAGAGCAGGCCTAGCTCTTGAATCAGAGTCCTGGTTTTAGTCTTTGATGTGTCTCTCCACCCTGCCCTTCTCTGACACTCAAATTTCATGGGTGCTACACGTAGAGGGAGGGTAGCATGGAAGGTGTGGAGATAACTACTATGTCTACTTACGTGTCCACGAGTAACCTCATCACCACGTTGGGAGAAGCTACATACGATACTTTTTGGGAGAAACTGAGCTCCGGAGCTGCTTGGTCAATCTCCCTGTAACCGAATCACAGGTTCACTTGATCACCACCTGCAGAGTCCAATCAACAAGAGCAAGGTCTGGTATAAAGAAAGTGACATTTTATTCTAAAGCTAGCTTACGGGAAGAAGTCCAGGCTTCCTGCCTTAAGGGTACTGCTTCAATTTTGGAGGAGAAAGTGGGCACTTTTAAAAGGGGGCCTGGCATGAGCGGCATGCGGGGGAGGGAGTGAGCAGCTGGGGGTCCATGGGACTTGCCTCGGTGCTTTATCTACTGCTCAAGCCGGCACCATCACAGGCAGAACCAGGTTGCAAAGCAGACTTGTCTCAAGATATGCTCCAGGTGGGAGAGAGTTTCATGCCGGGAATACTTTGGGTTGTAAATTGACTGTTGTTTCTTGAGGCATCTCCTTGGGGAGAGGTTTCTGCTCTGGAGCCTCTAAGTAAGTATACAGTTAGATAAGCTTGCCTTGTAAAGAACATCTGGAGAAGGCAGAATGTTATAATTGCATTTCTAAAGAGCTAAGTAGGAAGTGGGGAGATGGGAAAAGGAGAAAAGAGAAAAGAAGAAAATAATAATGAAAAAATAACGCGTTCTCTTTGTCTTAATAAATGGGGATACTTGGTTACATGCCCGCTGACAAAGACTCTCTTCTTGATTAAGCTAAGGCTCCTCTGAGCCATCTTCTCAACTAGGCCTTAACCTTGGCCCATGAGGATGGCTGACTCTCAGCACAGACAATTTTTTCTACCCATTCCCACACTAAGAGACACAAACAAACACTATCATTGTAACCGAACTCAGATCTGGGCTACTCATTGCTTGAAAGCCAAAAACTCAAGAGAGCTTTGGTGAAAAGAAAGTTCGCTTCATTCAAGAAGCCGGCAAACCAGAGGAGGGAGTGAACTAGCACTCAGAGACCACCTCTCGGAGCTTTGCTTCTGGATCTTGATCCAGGGGGGGTTTAAGGGAAATTAGGGGAAATGATGACCAAAACATTTCTGTGAAATGTGCACAATAGGCAGCCAGTTAATCATTGCTTTCTTCATCAGTGTTTCGTGAGCTTCTACAGGTTCGTCAGCCCATTCTTAGAGCTGTTGGTTGGCAAATTTTCTTTTATCTCTGTTGAAGATCTTGTTTTCCTGTAGCTGTTATTAGTAAATAATGCACAAACTCAAGCGAAGCAATAATTGCATTCAAGCAAGCTTTTCTCTAACAAGGAGTCAGCACTGTCACAGCACGGTTCCTAATAGCTCAAGGATGCACTCCTGGGATGAGGACTCCAGGCTCCTTAAGTTCCTGCCTGGGAAAACTCAAGGCTGCCAGAATGATTTACTTTTTGTTCCAGCCAACCCCTGAAGATAGGGCACCTGCCTTCTAGTCTCCATGGGAGGACAGAAGCCTAACTGGATAATCGCCAGTTAACAAACACAGATGGACTAATCACGTAAACCAACCACCTCCTTCCCGCTTTTTTAAGTTTCTGCTTCCCTGACTCCACTGAGCCTATGTTCCATCCCTACTCCTACTTTCTGATTCTTTCCTTGAAACACCCAGTCACCTGTGCACAGAACAAAAGATGAACTCAGTTTATGCTGGACACTTCCCTTTGCAATAGACTGAATAAAATCTGTTCTCATCAACTTTAACTAGCGTCCAGCATTGGCACCATGTTCTTTAAGAATGACTTCCAAGTCCCTACTCCTTCCCAGCCCTCTTCATTGTGGTTTGTGTTTGTAGAACACAGAGTTAAAGTAAGACCTGTTATTGTTATGGACCACAGGTTCTTAAGCTCCCACGCAATAGAAATTGACACAAAGCCAAGCAAGTTTCCCAGACAAGGCTTTATTGAGGGCTTATGCTTGAGCACAAGGGAGACAGCACAGGATGAAGGATTCCCTGGCTGGCTCCCTGGGAAGAGCTGCTTGGGATCTTTTATTTGGGGGAAGAAAAGGGGTCAACGTTAAATAAAAGGTATGTAAACATGATTTGGAAGGAATTTCAGCCATGCAAGGGCAGTGTAGAGACATACTTTTTCATATATCACATGGCAGATAAGCCTCTCATCGGGCAGGGATTTTAGTATTATAATGAGGCAAGGGTCCGGATTGGTCATTCTCATGGTCTTGTGCACATGCAGGTGACAGGGTTAACTCCCTTGAGTAAGATTTATAGTGGAATGCTCCTGATGTTAGCTTCTTCACGCAGTTTGCAAGATCTGATCAGTGGGGGTGGCGCCAGCTGGCGGGTGCTGCAAGCTCTGGCGGTCAGCAGACATGTATAGAAAAATACATTAGTCAGGGTGGGCTGAGTAACAGGTGGGCTACTCTGTCTCATTACTTTGTACTTAGAAGAACTGCTGAAATCTTCCATGTACCAATACCTTGAAAAAGTAGCTGGCTATGGCTTAGAGACGTAACTTGAAATTGTTTTTATAGGTGACAACTTTGTGGTTGTGAATAAATACCTATACCAATGTATAATGTAGCAAATTTTGTAATTTAAAAATTACTCAAAAGTCTTTCACATCCCTTATGTCTGGCTTATGGGTTTACTTTCAGATGACTAAATCCCATTGAGCTAAATCTCCTGAGGTTTTCCTGGAGTTGGAAGAATCCATCTATTTTGCTAGGGAAGCAAAGAGGTAAAACTCTTTTCCTTCAAAAGGCTTTGGGGAGTTGTAATGTCTAAGATACCCAAGGAATACCAAGGCAGATGTGTTATGAAATGCTAGCATCAATTAAGTAATTCACTTATTCCATCAATGACCCTCAGTCACAGGCCACCGAAACACCCCTATAGTTAAAAGTTGGGCTTATGACTTATTGCAGCAAGAGAGAACACACACCACGGAGGAAATGGGGCGGCCCCGTAAGAGGTGTTGAAAACAAACAATGATAGGATTTAGGCTTTGACTGGGTGAGCTGGGAGGGGGCTCTAAGGAAGTAGAGGTTTCTCTAGAGTGGATTATGCCTATGATCTCAGTCAATCTTCTGTATGCAGAGGAGAGACTAAACTGAGGATAAAGCTGCAATTGGCAAAGAAGTAGCAGTCACTCATGTTAGTCTAGAGAGGGGATGTTTGACATTTGTGGGTGGCACAGTGGCCTTGCTTTTCTTTGTGTTTAGATGAAATTATGAAGTTATGAAAATTATAATTTATAAATAAAATTATAAAATTATGAAGTTATGAAATTATAAATGGTGCCCAGATGAACAACCACACTGAGTACAAAGGATGGTGTCTGAGATCACGGAGGTGGGCCTGCTTCATTTCATTTGACAGTGGCCTCAGAGTAAGCTTCGTTGAGGTTGGTGTTCTGTGTGACTGTTGATGTCTGGTGGGAGAATAACATGGCCTGGCTGTGGGATCCAGGCCGGCTTCTGAATGCGAAGGGCTGCTGCTTTCTCTTTCCTCATCCATTCTACGTCGCTAAAGCGCTCACTGAGTGCTGGGGTCGCACAGTAGAAATGGTTTCTGTCTTTAAGGGATCTACAATGAGTGTTAAAAGCAGATGGAAAATAGACAATGGGCAATTAATTAGTCAACAAATATGAACCAAGTGCCCCATGGGGCAGGTTCTGTTGTGGACACGGGAAATATGAAGGAAAGCACAGACAGAGACCCTCTGCCCTCACGGAGTCCTCATTCTAGCAGAAAGAGACAAGCAATAAACAAAGCAAAGAAGTATGTTATCCATTGCGTTTGAGGGTAATTATGGGGAAAAGAAAAAGCAGAGTTAGAGGAATGACACCCGTAAGAGGGAATGGCAAGGGTTGCAACATTAAACTGGGTGGCAGAGGGGGTATGCTATGATGAGTGTATACGGAACCATTATATGGAGGAAATACACAACCGCTCAGGCATAATTTTTTATCCATTTTTTTGATAACTTATAAACCAGGGAAAAATAAGATATGCACTGTTTTATTTACTATATACAAGAAATCAGGTTTAGGTATGTTGAATCAATGCAACTTTACAGAAATATTACGTACATTCTTTATGGAAACAAAATAATTTGAAGTATGTTTTCCCACTTATCAACATCCTGTAAAATTTGGAAACGGTGATCACTGCTTTTTATACTGCAGAAAAGGAGGAAGATATGTAATTGGTCTGTATTTGTTTATTTACTGTAACTTTAATTGATTGTTATATTTTTCTGCCACAGATGCTGGACCGTGACACGAATGTGGCCATTTCCACTGTCACCAAGCTCCCCTAGGTCTCCATCAGCTTCAGTGACCTGGGCTCTTTCACTTCTCAGAGATGCTCATCTGTGCATCTCCTGTCAGTTCTCGCTCTTTTTTTTGAGATGGAATCTCACTCTGTCGCCCAGGCTGGAATGAAGTGGCACGATCTTGGCTCACTGCAATCTTCACCTCCCAGGTTCAAGTGATTCTCCTGCCTCAGCCTTTCAAGTAGCTGGGATTACAGGCGTGCACCACCATGCCTGGCTACTTTTTGTAATTTTAGTAGAGATAAGGTTTCACCACGTTGGCCAGGCTGGTCTCGAACTCCTGATCTTAAGTGATCTGCCCGCCTTGGCTTCCCAAAGTGCTGGGATTACAGGCATAAGCCACTGTACCCGCCTCCTGTCAGTTCTCTTAAAATAGCCGAGTGATCTTTCCTTCCCATTCATCTGCTATCTGTCTGCTGGCTCTTTCTTGCCAATAAAGACTCATTTTCTCCTATCTAGACTTCTCTGGCATGAGGAATGAGCCAATTTAATGCATGTCTTAGGTGGGAGTGTGGTGAGTTGCGGAAAGGAGGTTTGGGGAGCTGGATTCTCTGTGAAAACGTGTAGCAAGGAGAAAGGTCACTGGGGAGATTATCATCTGCAAGGCATGAGAGGCTGTTCTATTGTCATTCACATGTCATCAGCCCAGTTATTAATACTTTCCTTCCTCTACCCCCTTGTCGTTGTTAAGGAGTTCCTTGGAAAAAACAAGTACTTTCCCTCCCCTGGTTGGTGTCTCTGTGTCTTCAAGATACTGCCTATTTTTTTGAGGTTTCAACACAAACAGATCTAGTCATGGCAAAATGGTGACATTAATTCTGACTTCCCAGCTTCAACACTCTTCCCCTAAGAGGCAGAGAATCCTAGCACAGTAAGGGGTCTTAATGTTCTGGTCAACCCTTCTTGCCCACACTAGTCATGGAAGTCTTTGTTGAAATGCCCCCAGTGAAAGGAGGTTCATTTCCACCCAAGGTAGCTCATTCAATTTTGCCACAACTGTGTGTGTGTGTGCGTGTGTGTAAATGTGTGGGTGCATGTGTGTATGTGTGTGTTGGTCCATGTGTGTGTGGCTTCCTCCACCCATTAATTGTAATTCTAGCAGTTGGGGCCATGAAGAAAAATGCAACAACTCTTCTGGGCAGGAGGCTTTTAGATGACTGAGTACTCTTTTGACATGTTTCTTTATTTCTTTACCATCGATCTCTTTCCTCCAGGATTAGCATAATCAGTTCTTGTTTTTTTTTTTTTGTTTTTTTTTTTTTATTTCTCTGAGAGGGACTCTTGGTCTATCAGCCAGGCTGGAGTGCCGTGGTGTGATCTGGGCTCACTGCAACCTCTGCCTCCCAGGATCAAGCGATTCTCCTGCCTCAGCCTCCCAAGTAAGTGGGATTACAGGCATGTGCCACCACGCCTGGTTAATTTTTGTATTTTTATTAGAGATGGGGTTTCACCATGTTGGCCAGGCTAATCTCAGACTCCTGATTTCAAGTGATCTGCCCACCTCAGCCTCCCAAAGTGCTGGGATTACAGGCGTGAGCCACCACACCTGGCCATTGCTTTTGTCTTCTTGCAGCTATCAGTGTGTACTCCAATGCTTCATAAATTTGAGTAAAATGCAGATTCCTTAAAATAAATCACAATATTATGCTCTCTCTCTCTCTTCCCCTCTCTTTCTATATATATATATATATATATATATATATATATATATATATATATATATATCTGATTACTGACTGAATTAGTTTTTATTATTTAAACCTAAGATTTAAAACCCTTCTGTTCATAGTCCTTAAACATGAAACTTAAAAATTAAGATTAAGTGTAGAATTAGCAATTTAACAGGACAGATTAAAATGTGTTTTACTGAAGCCAAATTATTTTCAATGTGAAGATACTACTACTATCATATAGCATGCATTTACATTGTTTATTGATTCCTTGTTATAACCCAATTCTCCTACCATTTGTTCTGTATATAAAATGAGGATACAAAATGTATTGTCTCCTCAAAGGGTTAGTGTGAGACTTGCACGAAATCATGCATATCAAGCACAATGCTTATTGCAGGATAATGGTCAAAAATGGCAGATATTATTACTATAATTGTTATTGCTGGTGCTACGTTATCATTGGTGCTTTGTCTGCTTGCAGATTCGAATGGAATACAATAAAACCTTGCTGACAAACATCTTTCAAGTTTAGGTCTAGTTTCCAGTCCCCATCATGACTTTTAAAATTTGCTCTGAAAATTCCTGGTCATGACTCTTTCTAAATTAAACAGACTTTCAAGTTGCATATTAAAACGTGGGTCACCTCAGGGCAAGCTAGAAAGCCAGGGAGGAGTTATAATGATGTATAAAGGACATTCCATGTTGCATCTTCCTCTACTTCTCTGAAAGAGCTCAAAATTAATGTTCAGAATCAAGAAAATACTACGGACCTGTCTTCAATATCGTGGCTGCCCCAAGATAGATAAAGTTTTGATTTTCTTTGTCTTTGAATGTAATACATGGTAGTTCCTTGAAGGTTAATGAACTGCTCACAGAGTTTTGGTATAATAAATCTTTACACAAACTTTCATGCGCGTCCGTGTGAAGAGACCACCAAACAGGCTTTGTGTGAGCAACATGGCTGTTTATTTCACCTGGGTGCAGGCAGGCTGAGTCCGAAAAGAGAGTCAGTGAAGGGAGATAGGGGTGGGGCCGTTTTATAGGATTTGGGTAGGTAAAGGAAAATTACAGTCAAAGGGGGTTTGTTCTCTGGCGGGCAGGAGTGGGGGTCGCAAGGTGTTCAGTGGGGGTGCTTTTTGAGCCAGGATGAGCCAGGAAAAGGACTTTCACAAGGTAATGTCATCACTTAAGGCAAGGACTGGCCATTTGCACTTCTTTTGCGGTGGAATGTCATCAGTTAAGGTGGGGCAGGGCATATTCACTTCTTTTGTGATTCTTCAGTTACTTCAGGCCATCTGGGCATATACGTGCAAGTCACAGGGGATGTGATGGCTTGGCTTGGGCTCAGAGGCCTGACATTCCTGCCTTCTGATATTAATAAGAAAAATAAAACAAAATAATGTTGAAGTGTTGGGGCAGCGAAAATTTTTGGGGGGTGGTATGGAGAGAGAATGGGCGATGTTTCTGAGGGCTGTTTCAAGCGGGATTAGGGGTGGCTTGGGAACCTAGAGTGGGAGAGATTAAGCTGAAGGGAGGTCTTGTGGTAAGGGGTGATATTGTGGGGATGTTAGAAGAAACATTTGTCATATAGAATGATTGGTGATGGCCTAGATACGGTTTTGGATGAATTGAGAAACTAAATGGAATAACAGAAGGAGAAAAACAGGTATAAAATGTCTAAGAATTGGGATGACTCAGGATATCTGATTAGAGAGTGCCTAAGGAGATTCAGCATAGTCCTGCCAGCAAAGATTATTTATTTACTTCAAGAGTTAAGAGTGGCAGTTTGGGGATAGCACCAGGAGATATCAGCTGTGATGGCTTGGAAAAACAGTGTAAACCAGCAGTGTAAACAAGAGCAGGGCATGTATGAGTAGTTGAGAACGGTGAATAGGAGTATGACTAGACAGAAGATAGTAGGGATGACAAGTTTTTTGGGGCACAGTCCAAGTTGGTCTGGTGTCTGGAATGAGACTGGGGCCTAATAAAAAGGAGCGTCTATACAAGAGCTTAAATGGGCTGTACCCTGTAGCATTCTAAGGACAGGCCTGAATTCTGAGAAGGGAAAGTGGTAAAAGTATTGTCCAGTCCTTTTTAAGTTGGTGGCTGAGCTTGGTGAGGTGTGTTTTTAATAGACCATTAGTCCTTTCTACTTTTCTTGAAGATGGAGGACCGTAAGGGATATAAAGGTTTCACTGAATACTAAGAGCCTGAAAAACTGCTTGGCTCATTTGACTAATGAAGGCTCATCTGTTATCAGACTGTATTGAGGTGGGAAGGCTAAACTGAGGAATTATGTCTGACAGAATGGAAGAAATGACTGCGGTGGCCTTCTCAGACCCTGTAGGAAAGGCTTGTACCTATCCAGTGAAAGTGTCTACCTAGACCAAGAGATATGTTAGTTTTCTGACTCAGGGCATGTGGAGTAAAGCTAATTTGCCAGTCCTGGGTGGGGCAATTCCTCGAGCTTGATGTGTGGGGAAGGGAGGAGGCCTGAATAATCCCTGAGGAGTAGTAGAATAGCAGATGGAACACTGAGAAGTTATTTCCTTGAGGATAGATTTCCACGATGGAAAAGAAATGAGAGGTTCTAAGAGGTGGGCTAGTGGCTTGTACTATAGCAAAACCTGCCTTTGCTGGTGTGTGGCGATTAGGCCTGGTGGAACCGCCATCAATAAATCAAGCATGATCAGGGTGAGGAATAGGAAAGAAGGAAATTTGGGGAAACGGGGTGAATGTCAGGTGGATCAGAGAGATAGTCATGGGGGTCAGGTGTGGTATCAGGAATAATGTGGGAGGCCGGATTGAAGTCTGGGCCAGGAACAATGGTAATTGTGGGAGGCTCAACAAAGTGTGAGTATAGCTGAAGGAGCCAGGAAGCAGAAAGTATATCCATCAGGTATGAGGAAGAAAATAGATTTTGGAAGTTAGGAGAACTGTAGAGAATGAGTTGAGCACAGTTTGTGATTTTGAGGGCCTCTAAAAGTACTAAAGCAGTGGCAGCCGCTGCATGCAGACATGAGGGCTAGGCTAAAACAGTAAGGTCAAGTTGTTTGGACAGAAAGCCTACAGGGTGTTGTCCTGGCTCTTGTGTAAGAATTCTGACCGCGCTAACCATGCCTAGGAAGGAAAGGAGTTGTCGTTTTGTAGAAGGTGCTTGGGTTTGAGAGATCAGTCGGACACGATTGGCAGGGAGAGCACGTGTGTTTTTATGAGAATTATGCAGAGATAGGTAACAGATGAGGAAGAAATTTGGGCTTGATTGAAGTAATGGGGGCTGTCTGTGAACCTTTGCAGCAGTACAGCCTAGGTAATTTGCTGAGCTTGATGGGTGTCAGGGTCAGTCCAAATGAAAGTGAAGAGAGGCTGGGATGAAGGGTGCAAAGGAATAGTAAAGAAAGCATGTTTGAGATCTAGAACAGAATAATGGGTTGTAGAGGCAGGTATTGAGGATAGGAGAGTATATGGGTTTGGCGCCATGGGGTGGATAGGCAAAACAATTTGGTTGATAAGGCGCAGATCCTGAACTAAATTGTAAGGCTTGTCTGGTTTTAGGACAGGTAAAATGGGGGAATTGTAAGGAGAGTTTATAGGTTTTAAAAGGCCATGCTTTAGCAGGCGAGTGATAACAGGCTTTAATCTTTTTAAAGCGTGCTGTGGGATGGGATATTGGCGTTGAGTGGGGTAAGGGTGATTAGGTTTTAATGAGATGGTAAGGGGTGCATGACCGGTCGCCAAGGAGGGAGTAGAGATATCTTATACTTGTGGGTTAAGGTGGGGGGATACAAGAGGAGGACACAAAGGAGGCTTTGGATTGGGAAGAAGGGCGGCAATGAGACATAGCTGTAGTCCAGGAATAGTCAGGGAAGCAGATAATTTAGTTAAAGTGTCTCAGCCTAATAAGGGAGCTGGGCAGGTGGGGATAACTAAAAAGGAGTGCTTAAAAGAGTATTGTCTAAGTTGGCACCAGAGTTGGGGAGTTTTAAGAGGTTTAGAAGCCTGGCCGTCAATATCCACAACAGTTATGGAGGCAAGGGAAACAGGCCCTTGAAAAGAAGGTAATGTGGCGTGGGTGGCCTCCGTATTGATTAAGAAGGGGACGGGCTTACCTTCCACTGTGAGAGTTACCGGAAGCTCGGCGTCCGTGATGGTCTAGGGGGCTTCCGAGGCGATCCGGCAGCGTCAGTCTTCAGCCGCTAAGCCGAGAAGATCTGCGAAGGAGTCAGAGAGCCTTGGGCCAGAGTTCCAGGGCCTCTGGGAGTGGCTGCCAGGTGAGTTGAACAGTCCAATTTTCAGTGGGGTCCCACACAGATGGGACACAGGTTAGGAGGAATCCCGGGCTGCGGGCATTCCTTGGCCCAGTGGCCAGATTTCCGGCACATGTAGCAAGCTCCTGTGGGAGGAGGTTCTGGAGGAACGCCTGGCCGCTGTGGTTCAGGCGTTTGGAAGTTCTTGGGTGCTGGAGATGTGGCTGGGGTTTGTCTCACAGTGGAGGCAAGGAATTGCAACTTTTTTCTATTATTGTACACCTTGAAGGCGAGGTTCATTAAATCCTGTTGTGGGGTTTGAGGGCTGGAATTTAATTTTTGGAGTTTTATTTAGTGTCGGGAGCAGATTGGGTAATAAAATGTATATTGAGAATAAGACGGCCTTTTGACCTTTTAGGGTCTAGGGCTGTAAAGTGTCTCAGGGTTGCTGCCAAAGGAGTCATGAACTGGGCTGGGTTTTTATATTTGATGAAAAAGATCCTAAACGCTTCTGATTTGGGATAAAGAAAAAGGAGCATTAACCTTGACTATGCCTTTAGCTCCAGCCACCGTTTTAAGAGTAAATTGCTGGGCAGGAGGGGGAGGGCTAGTCACTGAACGAAACTGTAAGCCGGACCAGGTGTGAGGAGGGGAGGTGATGAAAGGATTACAGGGTGGAGGAGCAGAGGCTGAGGAAGAATTGGGACCTAGCTCGGCCTGGCAAGGAGCAGCCTGGGGAGGAAGGGAGAGGTCAGATGGGTCTGTAGAAAAGGAAGATTAGAAAGACTCAGTGACGCTTGGGGTTGGTACTGAGGGGACAGGCGGGAGGGAAAGAAGGAAGATTTGGGACGAGTTGCAATGGGCACAGACTAGGAAGGGACTGATGTGTAAAAGAATACCTGGACATCAGGCACCTCAGACCATTTGCCTATTTTACAACAAGAATTATTTAGATCTTGCAGGATGGAAAAATTCAAAGTGCCATTTTCTGGCTATTTGGAACTACTGTCGAGTTTGTATTGGGGTCAAGAGACATTGCAGAAGAAAATAAGGCATTTAGGTTTTAGGTCAGGTGTGAGTTGAGGTTTTAAGTTTTTGAGAACACAGGCCAAGGGAGTAGAAGGAGGAATGGAGGGTGGAAGTTTCCCATAGTGAAGGAAGCAAGCCTAGAGAAAAGAGAGAGTAGAGAAATGGAAGGAAGGGGTTCAGGGGTTCTTACCTTCCAGAAAAGTGGGAAAAGGGGTTGGGGCTCAGAGATAAGAGGTCAGGGCACGGAAATAAGGGATGGGGCGCAGAAATAAGAGGTCGGGGCGTGGAAATAAGGGATTGGGGTGCAGAGATATGAGGTTGGGGCATGGAAATAAGGGATTGGGGTGCAGAGATATGAGGTTGGGGCATGGAAATAAGGGATTGGGGCACAGAGATATGAGGTTGGGGTACTTGCCCCTCCTCTAGAAAAGCGGGACTTGCCACTAAGAGTGAAGGAGAAGGGGTTGAGTGGTACTTGCCCCTCCCCCAGAAAAGCGGGACTTGTCGCTAAGGGTGAAGGAGAAGGGGTTGAGGGGTACTTGCCCCTCTCCAAGAAAAGCTGAGAAGGGGTAGAGACAAGGAGAGAAGGGGTTGGGGTACTTGCCCTGTCCCTGGAAAAGCAGAGAAGGGGTAGAGACAAGGAGAGAAGGGGTTGGGGTACTTGCCCCTTCCCCAGAAAAGCGGGAATTGCTGCTAAGGGTGAAGGACCAAGGCAGGCATCCCTGCATGGTCTGACACCCTTGAAACGTGGGTTAATAATCAGAGAGGCGTCCCTGCAATGATTAAACAACAAGGGAAGGCTGCCTTCCCAGTCCGTGACCGGTGCCAGAGTTTTGGGTCCACGGATAAAACATGTCTCCTTTGTCTCTACCAGAAAATGAAAGGAATTGAAATTAAGAGAAGGGAGAGATTGAAGTGTGGCACCAAGATTGAAAGGAGAAAGAGGTTGAGGGATAGTGAGGGAAGTTGGAGAAGAGAGTAAGAAGAGGCTGCTTACCGGATTTGAAATTGGTGAGATGTTTCTTGGGCTGGTCGGTCTGAGGACCTGAGGTCATAGGTGGATCTTTCTCATGGATCAAAGAGCAGGAGGACAGGGGATTGATCTCCCAAGGGAGGTCCCCCGATCCGAGTCACGGCACCAAATTTCATGCGTGTCCGTGTGAAGAGACCACCAAACAGGCTTTGTGTGAGCAATATGGCTGTTTATTTCACCTGGGCGCAGGCAGGCTGAGTCCAAAAATAGAGTCAGTGAAGGGAGATGGGGGTGGGGCCGTTTTATAGGATTTGGGTAGGTAAAGGAAAATTACAGTCAAAGGGGGTTTGTTCTCTGGCGGGCAGGAGTGGGGGTCGCAAGGTGCCCAGTGGAGGTGCTTTTTGAGTCAGGATGAGCTAGGAAAAGGACTTTCACAAGGTAATGTCATCACTTAAGGCAAGGACCAGCCATTTACACTTCTTTTGTGGTGGAATGTCATCAGTTAAGGTGGGGCAGGGCATATTCACTTCTTTTATGATTCTTCAGTTACTTCAGGTCATCTGGGTATACGTGCAAGTCACAGGGGATGCGATGGCTTGGCTTGGGCTCAGAGGCGTGACATAAACTTCTTTCCATCCATATTGCCATAAAGAGTAGGTCTACAATGTTATTGAGTCCTGAAATTATATTACCTTCCTATTGCCATTCACCAAAACTAGAATTGGCAAAAATGTTCATTGTTGTTTTTTAAAATCTCATCAAAAAAGAAGTCATCTCCTTGAATTTATTTGCCTTTTGGATGATCATATTTTGAGTCACGAAGCAATAGTAACTCTTATGCTCAGGTTTTTACTATAGGGCAATGGGGCAGTTAGACTGGACACTATCTGTGAGTGGGGTCTTGTGTCCAGATTCACACAGGAGCCCCTATGTTAGAGAAGATTTAACTAATGCATAAATATTTGAAACTGTATTATCAACTCAGCTCAGGTAGCAGTTTCCTTTTTTTATTCAGAATACTTACACGGAGACACACTGAAGAACAGACAGACGTACACATCCCCCATGCACACCCCACAAAACTTTCTGATGTCTAGCTAAAATGAAACTAAAGACCTTGGTTGTTTCAAATCAAGGTCTCTGGTAGTAATTTCCAGTAATTGTTTTAAAATATCTCTTTTAAGTCAGGAGAACTGGGGAAGACCTGTTTTGCCCTGGCTCATGCTTTTAGCAGTTACATTTCTCAGCTTTTTATTCAGAAATATCTTGATTTTCAATTTCCAAAGTGGAGACTTAGGCTTCAAGAAGTCTTTTCAGGTGGTACAAGGGCCTGGTAGTATTAAAAGAGTTAATGTCCAGATTCTTGACTCGAGTTTCATGTGTCCTTTCCCCAAAGATGATGTCTGAGAATGCATTTGGGGCAACTTCTCATGCTTTTCTTTTTTTGCCATTTCTCTTCACAATCACCCTTCTCTTATTTTCTCAAAGAAAGGTAGAACTCTCACCCACCTGGGATCCTCACAGGATGCGTTGCTCCAGGCTGCAAAAACCTCTGTGAATTCTCACCCATCTGGTATCTTAACAGGATGCATTGCCCCAGGATGCAAAATCCTCTGTGCCTTCAGTCAAATGGTCCATTGAAAACAGTAGTGTCTGGAGTCATCCCTTAATCAAGGTGCCATTAATACATGGGAGTGGTCCAGTCCAGGCAGGTGAAGCAAGGCATTAGCATGAAGGCAGGCTCGTAGGATATTCTGAACCCAGATACATCATAGACAATGGGTTTGCCACAGGGATGACATTAGAAAAAAAAATACTTTACCTTTTTTATCTCCCAATCATGGTCAAATGATCTCACTTTGGAGAGAAAATCTGGTGAGAATGAAATAGAGACTGCTAAGTCTGAAGTAGGGAACGATTATGAAAACCTCTGCAGGCACAGCACCTTAATCAACTCAGGCAGCAAACTCCTGGCAAAGCCCTCACCTCCATCATCTGTCCATCTATCCATCCACTCAGCCATCTATCTTCAAATAGGAGAGTTTTAACATTTGCTAAAAGGCTACATGCATCCCCTCTGCATGTTTGCCATTCTCAGGATTGAGGAGCTGCTGGGTGAAGGATGTCATTCATCCCTGTCTCAGTTTCAGTTGCACGTTTTGCATGATTTTGAGGAAGAGAAAGGAAACAGATCCATAATTATTTTCCAAAGATCACCTCTTTAAGTAAAACATCGGTTTTCTATACTGCATAACAGGTGATTGCAAATGCAGTAGCTTAAAACGGTGTCCATGAGTCAGGAGTCAAGAGGGCTCAGCTGGGTTCTGTGCTTGGCATCTCACCAGGCTGAAAGGGAGCTGTGGGCCAGGGCTGCTAATCTCATCTCAGGTGCAGGGTTCTCTTCCAAGCTCACTGGTGGCTAGAGTCGTTTCATTGCAGTTGTATGGCTGAAGTCCCATTTTCCTGATTGCTGTTAACAGGCACTGCTCTTAGCTCCTGGAGGCTGCTGGTAGCTCCCTATGATGTGGTCCCTTCAGGAAGTTCAGAAGATGACCATTTGTTTCCTTCCTTCCAGCCAGCAGGAGCACGGCTACTGTTGCTTCTTTTCTCTATAAGGACCTGCCTGGCTAGATCATATCCACCCAGGATGTTCTCCCTTATGGTTAACTCAAAGTCAACTGATTTGCTACCCAATCACGGCTGTATCTTCTCACATTCACAGTTCCCATCCACATTCTAGGGAAGGGGGATGACACATGGGGTGGGAATCTTGGAGATGCTATTAGAATTCTCCCTACCACAATCCACCCTCTGGCCCTCAATGATTTATTTATCCCAAATGCAAACTACATCAACATCTCCAAAAGTCGCAAGTCTCATTTACAGCATTAGTTCAAAGCCTAAAATCTCATCTATATTTTATCAGCTCAAATCTAAAATCTAAATCAGTACCAAATGGAAATGAGGCTGTTAGGTGTAATCCATTGCGTACAGCTACTGGGGCACCACTTCTCTTCATTTGCTGATATGTGAAACTAAAACTACAAATTATTTGCTCCCAACATACAGTGGTAGGATAGGCATAGAATCACAGCTGCAGACTTTGCGTTCAAAAAATGGAGAAATGAAAGGTAAAAGCCACCTGTTAAAGGCAATTCCAAAATGCATCTGAGCAAATAGAAGTTTCTTGATTAGATTTCAAGATTGCAGAATAATTTTCCCAGGCTCTTGGATCTCCCCCCGGGGCTTGTGATTCCATCCTAGGAATCATCTTTCCTTTTTCATGAAAGGTAGCTCCTGTTTGCAGTTGAGTAGTTTTGTCAGCTTGCTCCCTGACAGAGAATTTTGCGGATTCAATAGCATCTTTTCGTTTCTTACTGTGTCTCTTTCAGCCCAAGCTGGCAGTTTTTCCGCTGGAACAATTTTCTTAAGAAGTCGGTCACGCCTGTAATCCCAGCACTGTGGGAGGTGGAGGCAGGCGGATCACAAGGTCAGGAGATCGAGACCATCCTAGCTAACACGGTGAAACCCCGTCTCTACTAAAAATACAAAAAATTAGCCGGCCGTGTTGGCGGGCGCCTGTAGTCCCAGCTACTCGGGAGGCTGAGGCAGGAGAATGGAGTGAACCCGGGAGGCGGAGCTTGCAGTGAGCCGAGATCGCGCCACTGCACTCCAGCCTGGGTGACAGAGCGAGACGACGTCTCAAAAAAAAAAAAAAAAAAAAAAAGAAAAAAGAAAAAAAAAAGGTCAGTGGGTCTTTGGTGAATTTCACTGGATGTCACTGTATTTGATAAAAGCCACATCCACAGATCTTTTCAAGGTAATCAGTTCACTCTCTTTAGCTTCTGTGGAAATGGCTGAAGGATACCCTAGTTCTCCCTAGAGGCTCTTTGACGTGATTGACGTATACCTTTACTCTCTTAAAAGGGCCCTTTATTTAACTGAATACACTGGCTTTTTGATCTTTCTGAAGTTGATCTATTCAACCGTTGGTAGATGTTTTGGTTATTTCCAGTTTTGGGCTACTATAAAGAAAGCTGCTGTAAATGCTTGTTTACAAGTCTTTGTGTGGGCACATACTTTCATTTCTCTTAGGTAAATATTTAGGAGTGCAATTGCTGGGTAGTAGGGGAAAGACCTTATGGGAAACTGTTAAATTTTTTCCAAAATTGTTTTACCACTTTACATTCCTACCAGCAATGTATGCCGCTTCTGATTGTTCAATATTTTAAATTTTAGCAATTTTAGTGGCTCTATAGTGATATCTCTTAATGATTTTAATTTGCATTTCCCTGATGATGACAACACATTGGGTATTTGTCATGTGCTTATTGACTATTAACACAAATGTATTTGTAAAGTGTCTATTCAAGTTGTTTTGCCCATGTTTTTAATGGGTTGTCTTTTTATTATTAAATTGAAGGGATTCTTTATACATTCTGGATACAGGTTCTGTTTTAGATTTAGGTATTGCAAATAGTTTTGCCCAGTCTGTGGCTCACCCTTTCATTTTCTTAACAGTGTTTTTTAATGAGAAATTTTTTATTTTGATGAAGTGTAGCTAATCAATATTTTCTTTTATAGTTAGTGATTTCTGGATCCTGTCTAATAAATATTTGTCTGCTAGGTCTTGAAGATATTCTCCTATGCTTTTCCTAGAAGTTTTATAGTATTAATTTTTACATTTAGGCCTATAATCCACCATGAATTTACTTTTATATGCAATGTGAGATATGCTTCCAGGTATGTTTTATTCTGTACGTATATGTAACTGTTCCATCTCCAATTACTTAATGACTTACACTTTCCCATTCAGTTGCTTTGGTGTCTCACTTGTAAATAAATTGACCATATGAATTTAGGTCTATTTCTGGACTCTTTATTCTGTTCCATTGATTTTGTTTTCTATATTTATGCCAATACCATGCTAACTTTTCAGTTGTAGCTGTATAGAAAGTATTAAAGTAAGGTAGATAGGCTCTTTAGCTTTACTGTTCTTTTTCTAGATTGTTTTGGCAACTGTAAATCCTTTCAATTTCCATATACATCTTAGAATCTGTCAATGCCTACCAAAAATGCTACAATTTTGATAAGGATTGGATGAAATTTATAAATCAATTTGGGGGAAATTTCTTCTTATGAAAAGTTAGAAATAATTCTTGTTCCCTTATGTAATGTGTCATTTCTTTCTGTCTGCTTTCAAGATTTTCTCTTTGCCTCTAGTTTTTAGAAGTTTGCCTATGATATGCTTAAAGCCGAATGTGTTTTGTTTTTATTCTGTTAGAGATCACTGAGCTTGTTGGGTCTGTAAGATCATGTTTTTCTTGTTGGGTCATGTAAGATCATGTTTTTCACAACCACAGCAAGACAGAAACTAACATTTAAATAATTTTTATTTTAAGATATTTGTGGCAAAGAAAGTTTAGAAGTAAATCTGTGAGCAGAATGACATAGTACAAAGATGTTTTTGCACATACGGAGATTAGAAAAAAACAAATTTAGTCTACCTATCTGATACAAAGTATATTTTATAAGGTAAAAAATAAGTTGATATAAACAAGGTTAGCCAATGACTTTTTAAAGTAAAAGTATTTTCTTTGAATAGGTTATAGTTCTTTTCCTTAGTGTAGCTATTATTTACCTGCATTTCAATCAATAGATTTTGAAGGGATTCAAATCCTTGCTTGGATGCCTTTTCTCTTCTCTTCTGTCTCCTCTCCTCTCCTGTCCTCTCCTCTCCTGTCCTCTCTTCTCCTCTCCTCTCCTCTCCTCTCTTCTCCTCTCCTCTCCTCTCCTCTCCTCTCCTCTCCTCTCCTCTCCTCTCCTCCCCTCCCCTCCCCTCCCTCTCCCCTCCCCTCCTTTTCTCTTCTCTTCTCTTCTTTCATTATTTTCCTTATCTATAGACCATCCAGAAACTAGCATTTCTAATATAATATAGATGTAAATTTCCAAACTAGCATAAAAATGCAAATTCTAAGACTAAACATTTCAATGAAGCTTAGCAATGAAGTTAATATATCTTATCTCCAAATTGAGTTTCATAAAATATAGAATTATTTGAAGTATCAGATGTTATTGGACATTATTTGAAGTATTGGACATTAAAAAAAACTCAAAGAATAAGAAAATAAAACTGATTATAAATCAGAAGTGTTGTCCATTTAAATTCGCTGTGACAGACAAAAGAAAAGAAGAATACTAGGGTCAGACGCAGTGACCCACGCCTGTAATCCTAGTATTTTGGGAGGCCGAGGCAGGTGGATCACCTGAGACCAGGAGTTCGAGAGCAGACTGGCCAACATGGAGAAACCACATCTTTACTAAAAATACAAAAAAGAAAAAAAATTTAGCCGGGCATGGTGGCTGGTGCCTGTAATCCCACCTACTCCTGAGGCTGAGGTAGGACAATTGCCTGAACCCGGGAGGCGGGGGCTGCAGTGAGCCGAGATCGTGCCATTGCACTCCAGCCTGGGCAACAAGAGTGAAACTCCATCTCAAAAAAAAAAAAAAGAATGTTAATAAAAGTTCATTATACGTAAGAAAAATTATTCACTCTCAACCGAGTTACTTACAAGTGATTCTAAGAAAATCAGATATCCTTTTCCATCTTTCTTTTCTCTATTATGTATAATATACCTCAGACTAATTTATATTTCTGAAACCTGACAGTCATGAGATGTTTGAAATAAAGAACAATTCTTTTTTTTTATTATTATACTTTAAGTTTTAGGGTACATGTGCACAACGTGCAGGTTAGTTACATATGTATACATATGCCATGTTGGTGTGCTGCACCCAGCCAAATGTCCAACAATGATAGACTGGATTAAGAAAATGTGGCACATATACACCATGGAATACTATGCAGCCATAAAAAATGATGAGTTCACGTCCTTTGTAGGGACATGGATGAAGCTGGAAACCATCATTCTCAGCAAACTATCGCAAGGACAAAAAACCAAACACCGCATGTTCTCACTCATAGGTGGGAACTGAACAATAAGAACACAAGAACAATTCTTAATAGTGACCACATCAGTATGACTTTTGATATTGTGAAAGGAAAATAAACCTTCGGGTCCCCAAATCACTAGGGCAAAGGGAAAAGTTAAGCTGGGAACTGCTTAGGGCCAACCTGCCTCCCCTTCTATTCAAAGTCACCCCTGTGCTCACTGAGACAAATGCATATCTGATTCCCCCTTTAGAGAAGCTCATCAGAAACTCAAAAGAATGCAACCATTTGTCTGTTATCTACCTATGACCTGGAAGCCCCCTCCCTGCTTGAGTCTTCCTGCTTTTGGTTCTAGTTGTCCCATCTTTCCAGACTGAACCAATGTTCATCTTGCATATGTTGATTGATGTCTCATGTCTTCCTTGAATGTATAAAACCAAACTGTGCTCTGACCACCTTGAGCACATGTCATCAGGACCTCCTGAGGCTGTGTCAGGGGTGCAGATCCTCAAATTTGGCAAAATAAACTTTCTAAATTAACTGAGACCTGTCTCAGATTATTGGGGTTCACAATATATGTTTTATCCTTACACAATATATTATATGTTTTCAGTATTTTTTAATGCTTGAGGGTCTAATTCATAGCAGAAGCAGAAAGCCTGATCTCTGCCTGTTGTTCCAGTTTGAAGTTCATAGTCAATAATTCTGTCTTGGCCCGTAATTAAACTTTGTCAACCTTCTTGGTTTTTGACCATCTTTCCCCTCTCTTTACACCTTTAATCACCCAGGTACTTACCTTCACAGCATCTCTGACTCTCTATGCTGGGCCTCTCTCTGTCTGCTGCCCACAGATCCATTCCTCATCCTGCCCCTGCCTTGCTCTGTATCCAGGAGGGTTGACTCCCGGTCTGTGCTTCCCGGGCTCCCAGGTCCATTGGCTTTCCATTGGGTTCAGCTAATTGATGAGAGACTGGAGGGCTGGGAGGGAGAGGGTGGGGCATTGCTCTCCTCCCCAACAGCCTTATGTGGTATGTCTGTTAGCACCTGCACCCCATTGTGAATCCTGCTCTGACCATACAGACACACCTGAGGTGGTTCCAGCTTCCATTAGATGGAGCGGCTCCAGGTCCCAGGTGGCATTACTTCCTTCTCTTGCCCCCAGCCTAAGGGCAGCAGTCGTTTCCTGCTGTTGCAAATCCCCGGGTTATCTGCTGCCTCAATGTGGCTTCTCAGTTCCTTCCGCGCCCATGTTACCCTCTCCCTGCAATGAGTTTCCTTTGTGTACATGCTTGAAGAGTTTTTCATTTTCCCAGTTAAATGCTAACAGACACTATCTCTTACAAACTGCCCTATTTTCAGATTGTCTATACTAGTATCAATGATTATAATTATGATTCTTAATGGTGGGTCAGTAACCAATAAAATATGCAAGATTTTCATTTAGTTCTTACATAAAATGAGATGCACCTCCATATATTTTTACATATAGCAAGAGCTACTTATCGGTAGTTTAATAAGTAGATTATTATTATTATTATTATTATGAGATAGGGTCTTGCTCTGTCACCCAGGCTGGAGTGCAGTGATGCGATCACGTTTTACTGCAACCTCAACCTCCCAGGCTCAACCAGTCCTCCCACGTCAGCCCCCGAGTAGCTAGGACTACAGGGTGCGTGCTACCATGCCCAGCTAACAATAAGTGGGTTATTAAGGGTTATTAACTTTTATTATACATACAGCAAAATTCTTTTAACAGCATTGCTGAAAAACATTTCTAAATATTATAGTTGTTAATTCATAGCATTCTGCCTCTGTATGTTAATTTATCAATATAATTATTTACAACGTAGTATAATGTTTCCCTGACAAGCTTGCGGACTTCAAGTCTTAAACATACTAAAATCATGTTCAGAACTTTTGGAAAATACAGGTTCCTGGAACCTAACCCAGACTGACAGTATCTGACCTTGGAGAAAGGAGGCCAGGGTGACGTCTTGGCATTTAGCTTCTCAACCTGATGAGGGGTGTTTGGGAAAACAACATAACAAGTGGAAGGCTGAGCATAAATACCATTTCCAAGTCACCACTTGGTTGACTATTGGATTATTGCATTTTACCTCTGAGAAGCTTACAGGGACTGTAATAAACGCTGGAGCTGAAATAATATTTAAAGTATTCACATGCAAGAGGCACCCCAATCACTTCCTTGAAGTCTTCATCTGAGGTTTACTACAAAAACACTTAGTCATTTTCTGAGGTGTGACTATTTCTGTCTGATGGACAGGAAAGGGGGAAAGTTTTACTCATATCAATTAATAAAGAAGTTCTGGAAAGATCTTGTATTTCCAGAAAATAAGCCAACCTAGTAACACCACGAGCCCTGTTTGTGCTTGTTTTGAACTGCCTGTAACTCAGATTTGGTCTGGGTGAGAAACAAGAGTTACAAAACAGCATTTTCTGAATGTGAATCCATTTTCAAAGTTCCCGAAAGCTCTTCTTGAGAGCCCGTGGGGCTTTTTATATCTGTTCACTGTGGGAGAGATTTCCAGTTGCCCTTCAATGGCTTTTTTTCCCTCATCTTCCTTGGTATTAAGACTTTTAGATAAACACACAGCTCACAGAATAATCTGTCAGTGCATGGAGGTGTGTCCAATCTGTGCATGTCAGCTGTCTCATGTGCTCCCAAGGAAAAATGGTGGAAAGCCTTAACCTGGGACACAAAAAAAACAGATGAAATTTAATCTCTGAGATGTCTTGAGGAGCCAGAGAAATGTCTAAAGGTAAACATTTTTAGAAAAAAATTATCTATCTTTATTAATTAATCTTCCTCCCCACCTAATTCCTAAAGCACTCAAGGTGACTGCGTAGATACTGTCATTTATTAGATATACTGACAAGGTAACTGACTCTTTAAAACAAGGAATACTTGGCTAGTCTCAGATGAGCATGTGAGGTAACGTTCAAGATAGGCTTCTAATCATAGGTGCTCGATACAGTGATTATTTTTCCAAACACACACCTACATGCACAATTAAAATTGACCTACAGAATCAGTTTGATCTTGCTTTTGGGTCAGTTAAAATTATCTTGTGAGCATTTTGTAATTCTTTTGAAATTCTTCAAACTGATTCCATTGAAAAACAAAGACATCATGTATTCAAATTCCCCTTTATTGTTCAATATGTCTGTTATTCTCACTCTTTATTATTACAAATCATGCTGCAATGGACAGAGACTGGAGAGTATCAGTCACCATCATCCTGGCTGGCTCGTGCAGGTTGAGAAGGCAGCAATCGTGGGGAGGGCAGGAAAGGGTGTCAAGAAATGCCATAAAGGATCAAGGCCCAAGTCACAGATCTGAGAGCAGCCTCAATGGCTGCCATAGAGAGCAAACACAAGCACTTCCTACCTCAAGTCCTATTAGTTTGTCTTGTTTTTATTTGCGACCAAATTGCAATTCATCATCATTTCATTCCAAATTATTGGAATCCCAGAAGCACCTCCTGACTCTTACCTGTTGAGCTCTTGGTAAGAACCTCTATTACTCACAGCAGCAATTTATTTTGATGGGTATGTTAGTGAATATTACACATATTCCATTAATATTACAGACATCCCATTGGTTGAATTTTGATAATTCTTCCTATTTTACAGAGATGAAAACGAAGGGTCACTGCCCAATGCCTTGGCTTGTAGGTCAGGTGACCATGTATCTGACCCTGAACCTCTGCTCCTGACACCACTCCACCATGGTGCTGGTGGTGTTGCCGATGCTGGATGGGGGCTGAAATGTCAAATGACTGGTAAGCTGAGCCCGAAAGGACATCGGGTCCCCCAGAGAGCCAAGCTGAGAGTCAAGCTGAGAAATAAGCCTGTGCTAGCCAATTTACTACAAGCTCCACTGAACAATGACTGTGACATCAGTTCAGGGACAAATAGTGGTGGTGGCCCACTCCTGGTTTTTCAGGATGGGGTTTCTCCACTCTGGCTGCATGGCTGGGTCACTACGGGAGCTTAAAGGAGTTTCCTCTGCATGGTCTACACAGAGGATTCTGAGTTAATACTTTTTGATGGGGCTGGAGCATCGCTAGCTTTGACAAACTCTTCTGGTGATTTCCATGTGCCCCCAGGGTTGCGAACCACTTTTTAGGGACTTCTGAGGCTCTGAACTAGTGGTTGTTGAAAGTGCTAATGTGTCCTGTAGAAAAACACTTTCAGGCCGGGCGTGGTGGTCCATGCCTGTAATCCCAGCTCTTTGGGAGGCCGAGGTGGGGTGGACTGCTTGAGGTCAGTAGTTCAAGACCAGCCTAGCCAACATGGTGAAACCCCATCTCTACTAAAAATACAAAAATTAGCCGGACCTGGTGGGACACGCCTGTAATCCCAGCTACTCAGGAGGCTGAGTCAGAAGAATCACTTGAACTCCGGAGGCGGAGGTTGCAGTTTGCTGAGATCACACCACTGCACTCCAGCCTGGGCAACAGAGCAAGACTCCATCTCAAAAAAAAAAAAAAAAAAAAAAAAAAAAAAGGAAAAGAAAAGAAAAACACTTTTCATCATATAAATTAATCTTACTACTTTAGCAAGAGCCCCAGAAAGATATAGCAGTGGTTAAAAAGGTGATATATAGAGGAATTCCAGTATCTACTTTTCTGTTGTGAAGTCAGAGGGACAGAAACCTAGTGCTTATATGCACAGCAACGTGGGAGGCAGATGTGGGAAAAAGTCTGGGATTCCAGTTTTCATTTCAGCTTAGAAGCTCCTTAGCAGTGAAGCTGTCAGTCTGTCCACTTTCAAATCTTGTAAGTCATGAAATCGCTCATTGCAACCTGGTGTTATTTTTTTCTCCCTCCCTCTTTGCCTCCCCCCTCCCTCCTTCTTTCCCTCCCTCCTTCCCTCCTTCCTTCCTTCCTTCCCTCCCTCCTTCCCTCCTTCCTTCCTTCCCTCCCTCCTTCCCTCCTTCCTTCCTTCCTTCCCTCCCTCCTTCCCTCCTTCCTTCCTTCCTTCCTTCCCTCCGTCCCTCCTTCCTTCCTTCCCTCCCTCCGTCCCTCCCCCTTTCCCTTTCCCTCTCTCCCTCTCTCCCTCCCTCTCTCTCTCTGTCCCTCCTTCTCTCCCTCTCCCCCTTTCTTTCTTTCTTTCTTTCTCTCTCTCTCTTTCTCTTTCCCTCCCTCCCTCCCTGCCCCTTTCCCTTTCCCTCTCTCCCTCTCTCTCCCCCTCTCTCCCTCCTTCTCTCCCTCTCTCTCTCTTTCTCTTTCTTTCTCTTTCTTTCTTTCTTTCTTTCTTTCTTTCTTTCTTTCTTTCTTTCTTTCTCTCTCTCTTTCTTTCTTTCTCTTTCCCTCCCTCCCTTCCTTCCTTCTTTCCCTTCCTCTGTCCCTCCCTCCCTCCTTCCTTCCCATCTTCCTTTCTCAAAGTCTATAATTTAAATGTTAATTGCATCTATAAATACCTTTACAGAAACATCAGTACTGTTTGTAGGCTAAATGTCTGGGCACTGTAGCCTCACTAGTTCCTCATGGAGGTATAAGTAATGTTCAGGGGTCAGTGCCTCTGGCCCAGTGATGGTGGTCCGTTTGAGAAGGGCCCTGCAGTGCTCGACCAATAAGGCAGCCTTCCCGGGTGTGCACCTACAGGCTTTTAAGTCACATTATTAATGGTGTGATCAGACCCACGGCAGGTCTACCCCTGGAATAATAAAGAATGCTGAAAGATAGAGGGAAATGAAAATGATAATGGAGGATTAGGGAATAATATTTCAATCAAATATAAATAAAATCGGCTTCTTCCTTGGACTCTTTTTTTTTTTTTTCTTTTTTTATTTTTAAAGACAAAACCTTTTTTTCAAATAGGGAAACTCAATTCTAGTAGACCATAGTGGCTGGCAACCTATTTTGAGAGAGATGGTTTGGAAGAAGAGCAGCTTCCTTAGGCCAGAACGAGAACCGCGCTGAAGCTAACAGGAGAGGTCTGAGGGCCGCAGCGCGGGGCCCGGCGGGCTGGGCAGTATGCTCCTCTCCAGCCTCAGGGGTGTGCAGGCTGGCTTGGCCATAACCACCAGAGGAGGAGCCGGTGGGAGACTGGGTCAGCTCCTACCTCCCGGGTCTATAAGCAGAAAACGTGGCTCACAGAAAACCACAGTGAAGCCGAGCCCCTTCCTGGGAGCTTTCCCTGCCCAGTGGTTGAGCTCTGGGGACTGGAACGGATGCTGTGGGTCCAGGACTGAGACAAGGTCCCTGGGGACGGGAGTGGTCCCTAGTGGTAGAAGTGGGGACTACACCCAGAATTCTACCCAGGTGAACTGGAAGAGAAGCCCCCTGGGCAAGCAAATATGCCTTTTTTTTTTGTAGCCTCACAAAGGGTTACTAGGTTTATTAGGGTGAGGATGCAATGAATTTTAAAATATCAGACCAAAATTTTTATAATCAGTAATTCATACTCACTGTGGTTCCCATACCAAGAGCCAAGAGCAGAGACACCACTTTCAGTAGTAGTGTGTGGGTTTGGGGAAAAGGGAAAGGAAAGCAACCCTCCTGAGGTTGGGTTGGTAAAGAATAAGGGAAAATTACTTTTCCTTCTTTTCCCAAATAGTCCACACTAGCTTAAAAAAGGATAAGTTTATTTTTCAATAACTTAATTTATTAAAGATAGAACTGAACTGAAGCAGTATATTGGCATTTCTGCTATAATGTTATATATAAGATCACAAAAAACTTTATGTACTGCAAAATCATGTGCTAAAATATAATAAGGCTTCTGGGAAAAAGAATGTTGCAAATTTTTAACCACAGTACTGACAAAAACATTAGGAATCCTAGGAGAAAGAATCAGAGTAAAAATGACAGTTTCAATCCCTTAAAACCAAAACAAAATTGTAGGTAGCTGTATTAGTCCATTGTAATGCTGCTTAGAAGAATCACCCGAGACTGGGTAATTTATAAAGAAAAGAGGTTTAACTGACTCACAATTCTGCAATGTGGGGAGGCCTCAGGAAACTTACAGTCATGGCGGAAGGAGAAGCAAACACATACTTCTTCACATGGCAGCAGCAAGGAGAAGTGCAGAGCGAAGAGAGGAAAAGCCCCTTATAAAACCGTCAGATCTCATGAGAACTCATTCACTATCATGAGAACAGCATGAGGGTAACCACCCCATGATTCAATTACCTCCTGCCAGGTCCCTCCCATGACACATGGGGATTATGAGTACTACAATTCAGGATGAGATTTGGGTGGGGACACAGCCAAACCATATCAGTAGCTTAACAGAAGTGGGTGAGCCACTTAATAAGCAGGTCCAAGAAAGAACAGGTGGTAAAACTGAGTTGAGTAGCAGAAAGTGCCACGAATGAATGTTGAAGGTATCAAGGCTTTTCAAACTCCAATATGCATATGAATAACCTTGAGGTGTTGTTCAAATGCAGATTTTGATTTAGTCAGCCTGGAGTAGGGTCTGGGATTCTGCATTTCCAACAGGCTTACCTGAGATGCTCCGACTGTGAGCTTTTGGAGCACACTTGGGTCGCCTGAATATGCAGTACTGTGTTGAATCCTCCATGCCTGGCTGTGTTCAGCTGGGCTAGTGGACTTTGCAGGAAGCTATTGTTACCGGGAGGTACAAAATCTAAACTCCTGGTAAAAACTGTGAGTCAGCATGCCTTTTCTCCCATTCGGATATTCCCCAAATCGTCAGTCATGGATGAGTTAATTTAGATTGCACAAACATGCACTGTAGCAAAACAGACTCTATTTGGGACTAGGAACTTCTTAACTTTCCTTAGAGAGAGATCTCTACTCTGCTAGTCCTTAGAATTAAGAAACATTAGGGCTGAAAAGAGACATGAAAAGCAGCCTGTTGAACACTTTCATTTTATAGGTGATAAAAATGAAGGTCTTGGGTCACCCAGCTGGGTGGAGGCCCAGGTGGGACTGACCCATTTCCCCAATTGCCTTTCCACTCCATCTGGTGAGCATGGCTACTTCTTAGGAAGGAGATAGGTTTATTTTAGAGGCAATTTTTATATATTCTCCAGTTTTATAATTATTCCCACTGATTCCATTTCTGTTTAGAAGAGGCAATGACGCAGTGGCTGTTCCACTTCCTGCATCCTCAGATGAAGCTTCTGCATCAGTCAGGGATGTGTGTCTCTTTAGAAAATTCCCCTGTCATGTATTGTAATGTGCCATAGTTCTCTTGACTGCTCAGGCTTGTAGGTGTAAGAGGATTCCTGTGGGAAGAATCACAGAGGAATGACGGAAGGGATGGAACGGTGATTTGGAGAGGAGAAATCTCTTCTTGGTTCTCGGTTTATTGATCACGTCACTCCTAGGCATCTTGATAGCACAAAATCTCAGTGAATTTGGTTTAAAATGAACACGATTTCATGTGCATACAGCATACAAGCAGAATGAGGGAAAAGAGTCTGTCATTCTCCATGGGCTGCTGGGAGAAAGGCTGCTGAGTTCTGGCAATGATTGATTTTGCTGGCAAACGGAATGAACTGCACCATTCTCATCATCCTTCTGAACCTTGGATTCTTTCCTTGCTTTCTTTCACCAGGCAGATGATCACACTGTTCCCTTATAGGCTAAGACTTTGATTCTTTCATTCTGCCTTTTGTTATTGATCGTTTTTCACAGATTTTTCTTTCACACTAGATTATGAACAGTTTTGCGTTGGCATATGTAATGACCAACTCTAAAAGAAACTATATGTGAGCAGGTGCACACACACTCATATGTTTATTACAGCTTTCACCAATGTAAAGAGTATATAGCATGCCACTTAAAAATAATAATAAAATATTATATCATATGATACCTTTTATTGTCAATTCCAGTTAGTCAGTTGATTCTCACGAGATGCTTTCGTTGGTATTAACTGTACTCCAGTAACTGCCGCCAACGCATGGTTGCAACTGAAGAACGAATGTACTTCTGCTGTGACAGTTGGCTGGTATTTCCATTTGCATTAGCAAGACAAAACTGAAACAATGAAGACATAGTTGTAACTTCATTCATTTTTCAGTAACATGAGTGATTACTGAATTGAGTGACAGTTTCCAAATACTGGAAGAATATTTCTTTCCTTAAATTTGTGCTATTCACGTCATAGCTACAAGCGTGGCAAACATTGAAGTACAATCTACATCATTCCCATTTTTTCTCATGGCTTCTTTAAAATAGTGAAGCTCAAATGTGTAATAGTTAATGCTTTCTCTGGTGAAAATCCTCCCACGAAAGCCAAATTTAGCCTCTTAATGCGATGTCCTTGAAGGAGAGTTGAGAAGAGGTGTGCAGTAGCCCTCACGGCACAGGTTTCCACCAGACAGAGGCAACATGCGAACCGGCTCCCAAGAGCCCAGGAAACAGCGCATGGAATAAAATCACTTGGAAGTGTCTGGGTACTTATTATTTTTAATGGCAAAAATATTTTTAATTGCTTTTAAAAATTACCATTACTTTTAATGGCAAAAACCACAATTACATTTGCACCATACTTTTCTTTTTAATATAATTTATTCAATTATAAGTTTGTATAATTTTTTAGATAAAATTTAAGAATTTCAATATAACTTATTTAATTGTAAGTTTGTATAATTTATTTTTTGGACAAAATTTATTAATTTTTTCTTGCTTTGTCACCTGAGCTGGAATGCAGGTGATGCCATCATGGCTCACTCCAGCCTCAGCCAACTAGGCTCAAGTGATCCTCCTGCCTTAGCCTCCCAAGTAGCTGGAACTACAGGTATGAGCCACTACATCTGGATATAATTTTTTAAGAAAGGCACTGTTGGTAGCCCATTTTTAGTTATAATGTGGCATATCAAAATAAGATTAAAGATATTCACCAGCATGAAAAATACTACAGTGAAGTATATAATTTAATTTTAAATAATAACTGTATGTAACAAAAAGCACCCTAAATTCCTGAAAACTTAAAAATAAACCCTTGTGTGCGATCACAAGCCAACTCAAGCACATCACTGGTTTAAGGGCAAAGTCTATATCCTATTCATCTTTCAGTTGATCTGCATACAGTAGGCACTTAATAAATGTGTGTTGCATTTATTTAAATTTATTAAATAAAAGATCTGGACTAGATGATTTTTAAAATCTCTCCCAATTTTAATGTTTTTCCTTTTTTAAAAAAAAATTTCCACTTCAACGTAATTAAGAAAACATCAAAATATAAAGAAAAAAATCATCACTTCTGGTCCTACTGCCCAGTTTTAACCATGGATAGCATCTTGATATATTTGTCTCCATTTTTTTTCCAATGAATGATGTTTACAAATTGTAAAGAAATCAACGAATGTAAAAGCATAAAGATAAAACTAAAAATAAGCATCCAAGCCAGGTACCCAGAAATTGTTATCACAATTGTTAGGCTGTTATTTCAGCACTTTTTCTATATATTTATTCAGAAAGAAGGGGAAGAATAAATAGATAATTATGTCTTTAATACATTTATAAAAATGGAATGATATGCCAGATGTTATTTTTAAATTTGGCTTTTTAGATTTAACTAAATAGAAGAAAAATACTGAACAAATTCTTAATTTTTAAATAAATACCATCCCAAGAACAGCTATTACTATTACCTAAAGATGATTTTAAAATTAAGAGAAGTTTTCAGAAATATTACAAGATTGCACTCCTTATGACATGAGGGGGTTTTTTTGTTTGTTTGTTTTGTTTTTGGTAAACTCATATTCAGGTTTTAGGAAAGTATCTGTTGATACTTTGCTTTGAAAAATGAAGGAATGAGTCCTTTCACAATCATTCAATGTTTCATAGCTCCCCTCCCTCAATGACAATTTTTGTTGCTTATAGTATTATTATTATTTTTTATTGTCTAGGTTTATAGCATGCATATTCTGTTCTATGACCATAACTTGTATAGTTATTAAGTGTTAGCTTTATATTTAAATGGCTTAGGTGCTGATTACCTACCCTTTCGTCATAGCTTCTACCTTCATGAGTTCTACATTTAAATTCATTCTGCAATGGATAATTTTTTTTTTTTTTTTTGAGACAGAGTCTAGCTCTGTCGCCAGGCTGGAGTGCAGTGGCGCAATCTCGGCTCACTGCAACCTCCACCTCCCAGGTTCAAGCAATTCTCCTGCCTCACCCTCCCGAGTAACTGGGATTACAGGCACATGCTGCAATGCCTGGCTAATTTTTATATTTTTAGTAGAGACGGGGTTTCACCATGTTGGAGAGGATGGTTTTGATCTGCTGACCTTGTGATCTGCCTACCTTGGCCTCCCAAAGTGCTGGGATTACAGCTGTGAGCCACCATGCCCGGCCGATGAATTTTAATGCCAAGGAATTTTTTTTTTTAAATGAAAGAAAGGCTCCTAGGCATTACATTTCTTTAGTTCTTCCTTGTTTGAGAATATATATGTGTCACTTTTATGTCTTCATGACATCTTAACTAGGTATGATATTCTTGGCCCCGTGCCTTCTCTTCTCAGAACTTTGTAGGTATTTTTTGATGTCTTCTCTTATTGAATGGTATTTGTAGAACACTGTAAAACCAACCATGATCACATCTTTCTTTAGAGCGACTCGCTCTCTCTGCTTGGTGCCTGAAGAACTATTTTCTTTATCATTGAATTTCAAAATCTTTACTAGGACAAATCTTGGTGGTAGGCTTTCTATATCGAATTTCCCTAGGCACATTTTGCTTTTGCGATTTGCAGCTTCAATACTTTCTCCATTTCAGAGACATTCACTTCTATCTTTTCATACATCTTTTTGTCAATCTGTTGGATTTTTCTGCTGTAGGTACAATAATATTCTCATGTGTTTTCTATTTATTAGTTTCTCCCTCATTGTTTTTTTCTATTTAATCTATATTGGAGTATTTCTTTTATGTCATTAATTTGATTTTCAGAGATGACTATTCTGTTTCCTGCTTTTTCTAATTAATGACTTCCAAAGGGATGTGGTTGTGGTTGACAATTTAATTTCTTTCATTTCCAATCTCCCTCTTGTTTCATCATCTTATCTTTAGGATGCTGTTTTATTGAATCAATACTGTTTTAAAGTTATTTTGTAGCAGAAACCAACTGTGAAGAGCCAATTTATACCTTCTCCTAGGTTAGGACCCAAATTTTCCCTTGCTGTGGGTTGTGTGTGTGTTTTCTAACTGTGTGATGTCAATATTATATAACATGCCTTTTCTTTCTGTCTTCTTTATGATTAGATGGGTCTTTCCAGACATGCCACTTGCTCACAAATATAATGGATAAATAACTATTTGACTCTCTTCACACTTTACTACTTTACCTGACACTAGCTTTCTTCTTCTTTTTTTTTTCTTTTTCATGAGTACATGTAAAGGAAATGTTGGGTTCTATTGACCTTTATTTAGTCAGGGGGGATGGGTTTGGGAAAAGGAATGGATTCAGGTGAGTGAGCACGGAGAATTGGTAAGGATACTTGGGCTCCACACTCTCTTCTGAGACTTTTTAAATGGTAGTCAGCCTCCAAGGTGGCTGCAAATAACTGGTCCTCAGTTCCCAGTATTCACACCCTTGTGTTAGTCCGTTCCTACATTGTGTGAGGTTTCTGTGTGACCAATAGCACATGGAAGACCCAATGATATGTCCCTCCTGCAGGTGGATTATACAAGAAACTGCAGGTGGGTTATACAAGATAGTGCAGGTGGGTTATACAAGAAACTGCGGGTGGGTTATACAAGAAACTGCAGGTGGGTTATACAAGATACTGCAGGTGGGTTATAAAACATACTGCGGCTGCCATGTTGGTTGTTCTTACTGTTGGTCTCAGAACGCTTGCTCTGGAGGAAGTCAGCTGCCACATTGTGATCAGCCCAAACAGAGGTTTGTGAGATGAGGAAATAAGCCATGTGAGTGAGCTTAGAACTGGAGCCTACAGCTTCAGGAACTTCATGGCACTGCAGCTCCAGCTAACAGGTTGCTTGAAGCTTCATGAGTGACCCTGCACCAGTACCAGTGAGATTAGCCAGTCTTGTACTCTTGACCCACTGAAACTGTGAGATAACACTTGTTGCTTTAGTTGCTCAGTTTGGGGCACTCTGTTAAGCAGTAATAGATAACTGATAGAATGGCCTATTGTAACCATTCCTGTGCAGAAAGGCTGTCCTGAGCTTTGAATAATTTCTTCAAATCAGTGTGTTTCTCTGAGCCTTAACTCCCATCGGGAAGAGTTAGCCTCCATTATTTAAGGAATAGGGAAGGAGAAGGTGCATAAGACTCAGCAATGTGGGTTTCTTTCTCCATTTTGTCCATTTCCCTCACTAGAGGTTACCATTATCACTTGGTTAATATATTAGTCCACCGGGGCTGTGATATGGTTTGAATGTTTGTCCCCTCCAAATCTCATGTTGAAATGTAATCCCCAATGTTGGAGGTGGAGCCTGGTGAGAGGTGTTTGTGTCATGAGGGTGGACTCCTCATGAATGGCTTGGGCCATCCGCATTGCAATGAGTGAGTTCTTGCTCTGTTAGTTCATGTGCAATCTGGTTATTGAGAAGAGCCTGGCATCTTCCCCCACCCCTTGCTCCTGCTATTGCCATGTGATACACCAGCTCTCCCTCTACCTTCTGTCATGACTGGAACTTTTCGGAGCCTCAGCAGGAAGAGATGCTGGTGCCGTGGTTCCTGGACAGCCTGCAGAACTGTGAACCAACAAAACCTTTTTTCTTTACAAATTATCCAGTCTCAGGTATTTCTTTATAGCTATGCAAACATGGACTGATGCAGGCCTGCCATGACGAAATACCACAGGCCGGATGGCTTACACAACAGAAATTTATTTTCTCACTATTCTAGAGTCTGGAAGTTCAAGATCAAGGTGCTGGCAGGGTTGGTTTCTCCTGAAGCCTCCCTTCTTGGCTTGCAGATGGCCACCTTCTCCCTGGGACCTCATATGGTCTTTTCTCTGTGTGCATTTCTGGCATCCCTCTGTGTGTCCTGATCTCCTTTCCTTATAAATTCACAAGTCATATTGGATCAGGACACATCCTAACTGGCCTCATTTGGACTTAATGACCTCTATAAAGGTGCTGTCTCCAAATACTGAGGTACTGGGGGTTAGGACTTCAACGTATGAATTTTGGGGAGACAGAATTCAGCCCTTATCAGTTAAAATAGTAGATAACACAAACACTCATTGATAGGATGCTTTTCAGATTTGGGAGTTACAGTAAAATATCCCAATATCACATTAAAATTAGTGATTGGATCTCTTCCTTGCCAAGCCCCCATTCTTAAATGGGGAGAATGATTCCGAAAGTTCTTATCTTCTGACCTAGGAGGGGAATGTGGAGGGAAGGATGAAACAGACAAGCCCATCTTGGAAAGAGGGCAGGAGGAGGATGTATCCTCCCAGCCACCATAGTCTCCTGGCCCAATCTTCTCAAGATGCAAATGAACAGAAGATCCCTGGAGCTGCTGAGCCACAGAGCCCAGAATCATCTCCATCAATATTTAAGCAGGAGAAGGTAACACTCACCATGTGTGCCAAAGTACAGCTGGGATTTTTGTTGGGACAGATCAGAACCCTCAGTGGAATACTCTGAAGGCTACTGAGTTCATTTCATTTAGCTCATATAATGTGAACTTGCATTTTATATGAGTAAATTGTGTGGCTTCTATTTATCACAGTAGGTTTTACTGGTAAGGCTTTACAATATTTGTAGGTTTTGAGGGGGATTTTGTAGACTTCTGGACAGAGAAGGGAAGGGATTAGGAGATGACCTTTGTTGTGCCTCTCTGCCAGACTCCAGGGATAACTTCAGGGACAAAACTCGAGGGATAAAGATAACTCTGTGTTTTTGTAGATTGCATCCAAAAAGAAATTTGTGGGCAGAAACTAGGTGCAGGATATATTAATTAATTTACTATTATGTATCATTTGAAGGATCCTATGTGAATCCTCGGGAATCTAGTACAAATATTGTTCACACTTTACATATGAGGAAATAAGGCTCAGAAACATGGGTGGCTTACCCACAGTTATATAAATTAGTGAATGACTTCAAACAGGTTTTAGGACCCAAATCCCATGCCCTTTGCACAACACCATACCCACCCCCCCACCTTACATTTCTCATTGGTGACTTGCCCACCTTGTCCATCTTTTAACCCTCCTGCTGAGTCCGTCTACTCAAACATGAAAACTCTGCTCCCAGATCTCTTTTGTCCTTTTATTAATTGCTATGTTGTCAAGTGTCTTCAGCCCTTTCAGAAAGCAGAATGTTTATTCCTTCAGTCACTCCTCTTCTTCTCTCCATTCTTTTCCTTTCATGGTGGTTATTCTGAAGAATCTGAGATGCCTGCTCTTGACTTGACTGGCATTTAATTGTAGAACATTAGACCTCTGAGAAAGGAACACAGAGATCAACTGATCAAGCCCTTCATGTTGGAAATGAGGCATCTGGTCTCCATAGAAGCAAAGATATGAAGCCTAGGTCTTTATAAAGTCAGAGAAAAACCACAGGACAAGATCATAGTTCTTCTGAATTCGTTCTGTTTTCTTCATCAACTTCTGCTTATCAATCCAAAATACTTGGCATCCTTCTTATAGTCGGTGACTTCCCCTCATCAAACCAAGATACTTCATTTCCTTCTTTTGAAATCCAGGGACCTTCTGCTAAGTGGAATTGGTGTTGCATCTGAGGATAAACACTGACTTCTTTACAGTCTTGTGCCTGTGTGAGAAAATTTCCCTAGGTATCAAAAATTAAGCTAGTGACCAGTGACCCAGTCCAAGTACCATCTGAGAATTAAAAAATAAATAAATAAATCCAACTAATTAACATATTTATTCTATTTAAACACACAGTCATCCTCCATATCTGTGGATTTCACATCTGTGGATTCAACCAAATATGGATTAAAAATGTTTGGAAAATGTTACTCAGCCTCACAATCCTACTCTGAAAATTCAACTGGTTATAGTTTCCATCCATTTCCAAAATTTTCACTTAGGGAAAATATCTGCTAATTCAGCAGAATACTTCTCTCCTTGTGTCCTCACCTTATTTGTGTAGTTCACTCTCCATCCACCCAGTCCGTGAGTTACTAGCTATTCTTGCAATGGTTGTAGTGGCTGGTGAACATTGATCATATTCTCATTTAAGTTATTTATTTTCTCATATTGCCTATATTAACAAGAATTATGAGGAAAGTGATGATTAGTTTATGGTATCGGTATGAGCATAATATTAATTATTACTACGATAGCTAGCACTTATGAAGGAGCACTATGTTCATGGCAGTAGCCTAAGCGTATTGTGTTAATTCCAGTCCTCTAAGGGGATACCACTATTATCCCTGTGTTATAAACAAGGAAGGTAAACACCAAGGGCTTGAGTAACATTGTGAAACAGAAAATGACAAGTCCACACTGGTAAAGTCTCTGCGGAAAAAGTCTTATTCCTGTGCCATTATAGTAGAAGATTTTACATATGGCAAAGATGGAACCAAATGATCTGATGAGAGGCAATTTCTGTAAAGGTACTTATAGGTTTCATTATATGTCATTGTAATCTTACAGAATATCTGGGTATATCACCTAATCTACAAAAATGGTACAAATATCTCTGCTTTATATCATTGTCTCCAGCTAAAAAGGAAACAAGATATCACCTGTTTGGTTTGTTAGTTGAATTTTGCTAGGAAAGAGACTTTTGCAAGTTCCACATGACATAGTAGTTAAAAGTTTGGATGCTGGAGACAGAGTGTCTAGGTTTGAATCCCATTTTTATCACTTACTACTTTTGTGACTTAGCATAAATTGCCTAATATCTAGTACCTCCATTTTATCATCTGTTGAATAGAGAAGACTGCAGTAGCCCCACAACCACCCCCACAGTGGTTTTTAGTATATTCACACAGGTGTGAACTATCGCCCTTATGGAATTCAGAACAAGCTCATTATCCAAAAAGAAGCTTCATATATTCTAGTAGTCATTCCATACACCCTGCTTTGCCCTAGGTCCTGGCAACCAATAATCGATGCCTCTATGGATTTTCCTATTCTGGGCATTTCATATAAATAGAATCATACAGTATGTGGCCTCTTGTCTCTGACTTTTTTCACTCAGCATAATGTTTTCAAGGTTCGTCCATGTTGTAGCATTTATCAGTACTTCATTCCTTTTCATGGTTGAATCCTCTTCCACAGCATGAATATACGGCATTTTGTTTATGTTTTCATTAGTTGATGTACTTTTGGATTTTTTTCACTATTCAGCCATTACAAACAATTCTGCTATAAACATTGTATACAAGTTTTTATACAGACGTTGCGTATGAGTTTTTATGTTGTGGGTTCTTTGGGATTTTTTTTATATGCAAGATCTTGTCATCTTCAAATAGAGGCAGTGTTACTGCTTTCTTTTCACTTCTCTTGGGGATATACTTGGGAGTGGCTTGTGGGTCCCAGTCTATGTTTAAGTTTTCAAGAAACTGCTGGGATGTTTTTGTTGAAAACTGGGCATTTTAAATAATAATATGTGGCCACTCTGGAAATCATATTCTTTCTTCTCCACAGGGTTTGTTTTTGTTGCTGCTCTTTGTTTATTTCATTAATTTTCTGGACTGACTCTTTCAAGTCTGCATCATTTTTCACATGTATTTATTGGAGTCTCTGCATGATTAGTTTATTGTGTCAGCTAATATCTGGACACAGATTTTCAGAAATGCCTGGAATTCCTGTCTTTCAAGCCTCTGATAAGGGGCTGTGTGGGTTTTGAGGTATGCCTTCAATGTGTAGGAAGGCAGTTTATAATTCTGCCTTATCCTTCACTTCCTGTTTGTGCAGATTCCCCAGGTAATAAAGAGGTGAGAGCTTAGGGCCCTCTGAGGTATTTCCTGGTCATATGCAGAGCCCTGGGCAGTCACACATTCTTTCTCATGTGTGTGGCTGTTTAGATTTTCAGGAATATATTAGAACTCTTCAAAGTTCCCTATGACATCTTATTCCTCAGATTTTCCTTTTAAGTTTTTTTGGCTAGCTTCTTTTTGTCTCCAAATGTTATCACAGCTTTAGGCAGCTTTAATGTTAAATAGTTACTGCTGATTGTTTTTGACAAACACATCTGGAGAATGGCTGTTCACAGTCAGTGATCACTGGTTCAGGCCAAATAAAGACAACCCCTTCGAGAGGAAGTTTCCAGGGAACTTCTAGGCAAATGACGGTAGTTCTCTGGGAATGTTTTAGGGGAGCTCCAAAGCTATTCTCCCTTCTTCAGAGCTTCTAGGATGATTGTTTTCATTATGATCACAGGGCTCTTTGTTTTCAAGGCTACTGTAGAGCTAGAGAGGAAAGTGAGTATAGAGGAACTGAAAATGATGCAAAGATCACTGTTATTACGAAGTTTTGGCCATTTTTTAAAAATAAATGTTCTCCAGCCAGGTGCGGTGGCTCACACCTGTAATCCCAGCACTTTGGGAGGCCGAGGCAGGTGGATCACGAGGTCAGGAGATCGAGACCATCCTGGCTAACACGGTGAAACCCTGTCTCCACTAAAAATACAAAACAATTAGCCAGGCATGGTGGCAGGTGCCTGTAGTCCCAGCTACCATGGGACTACATGGGTAGCCTACCATGGGTAGGCTGAGAATTGTGTGAACCCAGGAGGCAGTGAGCTGAGATCGTGCCACCACACTCCAGCCTGGGCGACAGAGCAAGACTCCATCTCAAATGAAATAAATAAATAAATAAATAAGAAAATGTTCCCCAAATTATTTCAAGACTTTGGCTAATTTTCAGAGTTCCAGAAATGATGATTTGACATTTTTTCTCAGTGTTCTTATTGCTTTTATGGAGAAGTGGATTTTCAGAGGTTTTTACTCCACCATTCCTGCTGACATCCTTCAACTCCTTCTGATAAAGATTATATAAGTTAATAAATATAAACTGCTTGCAACACTGCCTGGCACATAATAAATGCATAGTAAATTATACTTTGAAAATTTATCTCTGGTTCAGTCTGTTGAGCTCTTGGAGATGTCTGCTGAGCTAGGAATAAAGAAGTGATCTTTTTTCTTCTTGTTTATAGAAAACCATCTGTAATCAGCCCCACAAATTTCATAAACCTCAGTAGTAGCCCCAGACCTTTTATTTTGGTGGAGTAATTGTAACTCTGAACCTTTTTATCTTCTTCTCATGTTGCCTCCTGGGACTTCCTCACTTCGCACATAGTCAGGATTCCAACCTGAGTGGCAGATCTGGTTCCAGAGCCTGTTCTCTTTGCCCCTTTCAATAATCTGTGCATAATTTAATGCCTTCTATTTCAGGATCAAAGAAAAAAATGAGAAGTGTTCATAAGTTAATACAAAGTGTATTAAATTAAATTAGAAATTACAAAAAGTTAAGAGTTTTTTTTTTTTTTAATCCAAGGGTATGATTCTCTGTGGTTATTCTTAGCTCCTGTTTTACTGTAAATTGGAAATTTGGTTTTGCCTATTCAAAAAATGTAAGCCACAATTAACATTAAAAATGATTAGAGACTATTATTCTAAGTGAAGTAACTCAGGAATGGAAAACCAAACATCGTATGTTCTCACTGATATGTGGGAGCTAAGCTATGAGGACACAAAGGCATAAGAATGATACAATACTACTGGTACCAAAACAGATACATAGACCAACGGAACAGAACAGAGGCCTCAGAAATAATGCCATACATCTGCAGCCATCTGATCTTTGACAAACCTGACAAAAACAAGAAATGGGGAAAGGATTCCCTATTCAATAAATGGTGCTGGGAAAACTGGCTAGCCATATGTAGAAAGCTGAAACTGGATCCCTTCCTTACACCTTACACAAAAATTAATTCAAGATGTATTAAAGACTTAAATGTTAGACCTAAAACCATAAAAACCCTAGAAGAAAACCTAGGCAATATCATTCAGGACATAGGGATGGGCAAGGACTTCATGTCTAAAACACCAAAAGCAATGGCAACAAAAGCCAAAATTGACAAATGGGATCTAATTAAACTAAAGAGCTTCTGCACAGCAAAAGAAACTACCGTCAGAGTGAACAGGCAACCTATAGAATGGGAGAAAATTTTTGCAATCTACCCATCTGACAAAGGGCTAATATCCATAATCTACAAAGAACGCAAACAAATTTACAAGAAAAAAAAACCCATCAAAAAGTGGGTAAAGGATATGAACAGACACTTCTTAAAAGAAGACATCTATGCAGCCATCAGACACATGAAAAAATGCTCATCATCACTGGTCATCAGAGAAATGCAAATCAAAACCACAATGAGATACCATCTCATGCCAGTTAGAATGGCAATCCAAGCCGGGTGCGGTGGCTCACGCCTGTAATCCCAGCACTTTGGGAGGCCAAGGCAGGCGGGTCAAGAGGTCAGGAGATCAAGACCATCTTGGCTAACACAGTGAAACGCTGTCCCTACTAAAAATACAAAAAAGTTAGCCAGGCGTGGTGGCACACATCTGTAGTCTCAGCTACTTGGGAGGCTGAGGCAGGAAAATCACTTGAACCTGGGAGGTGGAGGTTGCAATGAACAGAGATCACACCACTGCACTCCAGCCTGGGCAACAGAGCCAGACTCCATCTCAAAAAAAAAAAAAAAAAAAGAATGGCAATCATTAAAAAGTCAGGAAACAACAGATGCTGGAGAGGATGTGGAGAAATAGGAATGTTTTACACTGTTGGTAGGAGTGTAAATTAGTTAAACCATTGTGGAAGACAGTGTGGCGATTCCTTAAGGATCTATAACTAGAATTACCATTTGACTGAGCAATCCCATTCCTGGGTATAGACCCAAATGATTATAAATCATGCTACTATAAAGACACATGCACACATATGTTTATTGCGGCACTATTCACAATAGCACAGACCAACCCAAATGTCCATCAATGATAGACTGGATTAAGAAAATGTGGCACATATAGGTCAGGCGCGGTGGCTCACACCTGTAATCCCAACACTTTGGGATGCTGGGGCAGGCGGATCATGAGGTCAGGAGATCGAGACCATCCTGACTAAAACGGTGAAACCCGGTCTCTACTAAAAAAAGAAAACACAAAAAATTAGCCAGGCGTGGTGGTGGGCACCTGTAGTCCCAGCTAATCGGGAGGCTGAGGCAGGAGAATGGCATGAACCCAGGAGGCAGAGCTTGCAGTGAGCCAAGATCGCACCACTGCACTCCAGCTTGGGGGACAGAGTGAGACTCCATCTCAAAAAAAAAAAAAAAAAAGAAAAGAAAATGTGGAATATACACACCATGGAATACTATTCAGCTGTAAAAAAGGATGAGTTCTTGTCCTTTGCAGGGACATGGATGAAGCTAGAAACCATCATTATCAGCAAACTATCACAAGGACAGAAAACCAAACACCGCATGTTCTCACTCATAGGTGGGAATTGAACAATGAGATCACTTGGATATAGGGTGGTGAACATCACACTCCGAGGCCTGTCAGGGGGTGGGGGGCTGGGGGAGGGATAGCATTAAGAGAAATGCCTAATGTAAATGATGAGTTGATGGGTGCAGCAAACCAACACGGCACATGTATACCTATATATCAAACCTGCACATTGTGCACATGTACCCTAGAACTTAAAGTATGAAAAACAAAACAAAGCTGCAGTGTTAGACACCAATTTCCCCCAAAATGGTAGGAGAGGGGAGATTCTTCCATGTTGACTTTATCCATTCCACAATATTAGTGAACTGAACTAGTCAGAAACCTTGGGAAAAGAGGGTTTCCTCACAGGACGTCTCAGTAACACAAGTCGATGGCAGCTGAGGTCTTTGGAATGTTCTCAGCCTTCCTTGACAGTTTTTGAGTCTGTCATGATCAAGGTAAGCATTTCCCAATTGTCTTAGCAGCAACTTGAGTTCCTTTGAGATATAAGTAGGTGTTTTGAAATAAAAATACACTGTGGACAATAAGTTTTGGAAATAGGCATTGCATGTTTTCATAGGACAGAGTTGCAATGCACATTAAGACAATGAAAAGGTGCTGACGGGTCTTGCAGTAAAGAGACATGCTCAGCTTTGCCTGATGCTCCCATGAGTTTGACCCTGTTACCTGGCTAACTGTATTGGCTGTTTCCCACCTCTCAAGCCAGATGATTTGTCCCAGGAATTATCCTAGTACAGTTTGGGAACTATTGGTCTAGGGAGAAAATAGTATGAATAAAACGAATAATTTAGTCACAGGGAAGTAGATTCACGGGCCTATCCTCCTGGTTGTGATTCATAATGAAGTCCAGATTTATAGGTGATGCAGTACTGAAGACATCTTGAAATTCTTCCACTCTACGAGGAAACTTTCTGGGGAGAGAGAAATGTTCGATATTTTGATTTAATTTTTTTTAGAGAGACTCATCACCAAGCCTGGCTAATGTTCCGTATTTTCACCTGGGTGTTGGTGACACTCCATGCTTACATTTGCTAAAATGTATCAAATTGGACACTCAACAGCTATGCATTTCATTGTATATACATTTGTTTTTGTCAAATAAAATCTTCCCTGTATCTCTGTGAAATGATTGATACATGCAAAAACTGAGACTTGGCATATTGAAATGACTTTTTTAGGGTCATATAATAGCTTTGTGTTGGATCCAGAATAAAAGTGGGGTCTTCGGACTCCTATTTCATGACTCAGTCTCCCAAATTATATTGCTTAATTTGTTTTCCTTGAAATCAGAGATAGTTCTGTACAAGTATCTACTAAATAAACTCTCTCTCATTCTAATTGAAGTGATTACATTGCTGGCTGAGGAATAAGGATACTGGCAATTTGGAAAGGAATTCAGTATACTTATGAATGGACGGTATGCCAAAGATCGATGTTAATGAACCCAAGGAACCATTAGCAAATCAATTTATTAGGCCTTTATATACATATCATACGTCAATTTTTAGTATCTATTTGTTTAAAAATAATTTCTTATTTATTACTACATTTGTTTAACAATCATCTGTCTACATTTTCATGTTTACCTTTTAATCTTGCCTACTGCTATAGAGGATCATTCAAAACATTTATTACTTTGCTCTTGTTATCAAGCTAATAGATTATCCTTAAGATAACAAGTGGTTGTGATTTAGAATAAAAACATACCTAGGAAGCCAGGGTCCATCATGTGGACAGAGTAAGGAAAATTTTGAAGAAATTAGCAAGTAACAATATAGCTAATTTCCTTTTAAAAAAATGCTTGGAGCATATGTCTTAATCATTATTTTTGCAGATGTGTAAATATTATGAATCCATAATGTGTTATTTAGTACTCTCCAGTATGCTTTTGTTATTACAAATTTTTTGAGAAGGAAGATCAAGTTAAATTCAATTCAAATATTTCAGACAATTCAAAATATATTTGGATGATAATTGTATATCATCTGGATACCTGATCAACCTAATACAAACTCATGAAAAACATTATAGCCTTGATATACTTATATATACTTTGGTAAAAATAAAAGAAAACGTTTTGGTGTAATTTAAAGGAACATTTAAATATGAAGTTATTTTATTCCTGCTTAGCCAAGTAAATAGAGAAAAATCATTAGTGATATTTTGAGATTTTGGCTTTAAAGATAAAAGACAGACTAAGAAAGTCAGTAGTAACAATTCCTGGCATTTGTGCTTACACGCACACACACTCCACACAATTATCTGTTCATTAAAAAAAAAAAAAAAAGGCCGGACATCGTGGCTCACGCCTGTAATCCCAGCACTTTGGGAGGCCGAGGCGGGCGGATCACGAGGTCAGGAGATCGAGACCATCCTGGTTAACACGGTGAAACCCCGTCTCTACTAAAAATACAAAAATTAGCCGGGCGCGGTGGCGGGTGCCTGTAGTCCCAGCTACTCGGGAAACTGAGGCAGGAGAATGGCATGAACCCGGGAGACGGAGCTTGCAGTGAGCCGAGATCGCACCACTGCACTCCAGCCTGGGCGACAGAGCGAGACTCCGTCTCAAAAAAAAAAAAAAAAAAAAAAGACGCGATTCTTATTCATGTCCAGAGTTGGTCTGTGCAAACATAGGACCTGTTCCAGGCTGGGCTGATGAGTCTCTTCCTTGAGATACTAGGTCTGAAACTGAGAGTCTGTTTGGTATCTGTTTAGTGCCTGAAGCAGTGAGATGGAAAGCACAAGAGATGCTGTTAGCCCTGTTTCCTGCCATGCGGTTCTGCAGAACAAGAGAAAAAACCAAGTGAGATGTGCAGATAAGAGTAGAGGGGAGAGACAGGAGACAGAGCGCAGTACGCAGCTTATTCAGGCTCCTGGTTTTAGTTTTTTATAAGGTTCAATTGCATTCTCATTCTCAGGTTTCGAAAGACCTTTTCACATTCTCATAATAAATTATTTTTCCTTAAGCCAGTGTGAGGATCTATTTTCATAGAATGATTTTTTGAAATAAAAATTTTAAAAATCTATTCGGATATATTTTAGTATATCTAGAATACGTGCTCCAATTGGAAGACTTGAAGACCTGCCTAGAAACAAATGAAATGTCAGCTCATTCTTTAGGTGATGAATTTGCAATGCAAATATGAAGTTACCCTATATTTGATAAGCCCAATAAGCAGCCAAATTCATTAGAGGCACTTGTGAGAGCTGGTTCTGAAAAAAAGAAGACAGAAAACAGACAAAGGCAGTTAAGACAGTTCTCATATGGTTGAGGGATTTTCTTCCATGTGGCATTTTCAAAGAAGAGCCAACAAAGTAGATACCTGACATTTGGGATGAATAATTTACAAGAGATGCGTCTAGAAATCATTGAGATAGTCCATTACCAAACCACCACTGCAGACATACTCTTCTCAGCTTCTTCATCAGTGCAATGGGGTTGACAATATCTACTCATTGAATTTACTGCCTGGCCGCAGTGAGGTTGTGTCACGATTGGGATGCAATGCAGCCTAGTTGAAGACGGTCACTAAAGACCCCAGGGACTGACTCCTGTCTCCAAATCAAGCCTCCACAAAAGGACACATAAAATATCCTTCACGTATGACTCACAAATAGCTGAAGCATGAATGTTAACTCCATCATGTCAAATCTGTCCTGTGGTTATAAAATTTAGAAAGGCTCTAAATGCTTCTAGATGTATGGTAATGACATATTTGATGCTGCATAATTCCTGTTATCTAAGTGGACAACTTTCCATGTGCAGGGCCTTACGTACAAAAGTCAGATGAGCCCAGCACATTATTTTATATATATATATATATATTTTATATATAAATTATATATATGATATATACAATATAATATTTATATATGTTATATATGATATATAATATATGTTATATATGATATATAATATATAAATATATATTATATATATTTATATATTTTATATATATTTTATATATATATATTTTTTTTTCCTGAGGGCCAGACGTTGGTACATTGGACAGAGGCACTATTCATTACGGACACCAGACCATCACTCAGGGAACTGCAGTACAGTTTACTAAATGGGACTGTTGTGGTCGTGTGGATGACTGGGAGACTCTGTCTTATTATGGGCTTTCTACTTATATATTTCCTTTGCTATTTTTATTCATCAACATGTAACTGGACATCCCCTCTTCCACTGCATTTCAGGAGTCTGAGATGGAAAAGTCATCGGTGTTCACTCATATCACAGCTCTAAGTCACTGTGTGTATTGACAGTGCATTCCAAATGAATCCCATAAATGTATTTAGATATGTACATTGCCTTGAAAATTATGTAGTGCTATTTTGTATATACTTTGTGTAATGACCTGATGCTTATTTGCTATAAAAAAATCTATCAGTTTTTTTCTTCTAAAATGTCGAAAATTAAGAGTGTCACAAAAGTTTTTTTTATTTTGCTATAACTATTCTACAGTTATAGCAAAACTAGACTTGTATTATTTTGATGCCTTAATCCAGCCACAGCTGTGCAATATCCAATTTCCAGTAGCGGGGAAGAGTCAGACTCAATGTCAGAGGATCATAGCTCCCCCTCCTGGCCCTGTGCAATTTGTAAATCCTGCTTTTTTCGATTCTTTGGTTACCTATGTCAGACTTAACCCCTTGTAGTTATAAAGGGAAAGCTATCTGAGGATTCTCAATCTTGATTCTTTGGGCCATTTATTATGAACTTGTCAGAGCCAATAAACTTCCTGTGAAACGAAGTTGTCCAGATCAGCACTTTAGAACTTTCCGTGATGATAGAAATGTTTTATATCATGTTACCCACCGTAGTAGCCATGGGCACCTTTGGCTAATGTAACTGAGCAACTGAATTTTTAGTTTTACTTAATTTTAATGAGTTGAAAATTAAGAAGCCCGTGTGTATAGTGAATACCGTGTTACATAGTATAGTATAGACACTAGTGGATTCTCTCTGTAAACGTCTCGTTCTGCTGGGGTGTTGCCACTCCAATCACTTACCAAGTTTCCCTAATCGAGAAGAGGAAAGGACAGTTGCACCACACTGTGCCCAAAGTATCCTTTATTCTTCCTTCTGGCATACTTCCCAGCACTTGCTTCTTCAGGGAGCAAGGCATGGCTATGAGGAACATGCGGCTTATAGTTATTTTCTGTGTTATGATATAGTTTGCTTCAGCATCCTTAAGTAACAAAGCCAGCTCTGCACATTTCAGATATAGTAATCTTCAGAAAGGTGCTGGTATTGGCTTGGGTGACACATTATTCACAATAAGCCAGAGAAAAGAAAAAATTGGACATGTAAAGGTGGGCATCTGGACTTTACTACAGTCTTATCTATTTGTGTAGAAGAAATAAGAGATATTTAAGGGTAATCCTAGTGGTAGTGCCAAGGGGGATGACTGGTAATGGGCGAACCTTGAGCATCTTAATCAACAGCATCCACAGCCACCCCCTGAAACCACCCTGGAGAAATGCACCATCTAAGAAAAAACAGTGGCCAAATCTACCCACAGGCCCCTTTAAATAAAAATTCTAGATCGTCCCAAAGTAAATCTGATCCACATAAGAAGTGAATTTGTAAAGCAGTTAAAATTGAGGAGTCTTCATTTGTTTTAGAAAATGATCCACCAAAGGTTTTCTTTACATAGAAAGTCCTTCTAAAGCATTTAATGGTGCAATAAATAGCATGAATTTTTGGAGACATTATGTGAAAAGCAAAGATTCCCCTGTATTTTATAAACCAGAGACTAATGCTCTGAAATAGCCCCGAAGCCCATTACGGCTCAGCATTCCTTCAGGTTTCCTCAGGGAGCTGCCTATAACTTGGTAATGGTATTACTTAAGATTGAAAATTGTTTTGAGGCGGGTTTTATAGAAGACATGAGACAAAGAAGGTTTATTGTGTTGTGTTGTATTGATTTAATCTCTTTCTATCACACACTGAAATTGTTGCTTTTAAGGAAATAGATACATTTTACTGAGAGTTTCAAGGGAGCTGGGATATATTTTGCTAACAGATCAAATTTTCAAATTCAGCCTTTTCAGTCATTCAGACAGAGAAGAAATGGAATCATTTACAAGACAAATAAAAGGGAGAGATAAATGAGGCAGAAGTCAATGTATACAGCCCTTGCGATTGTCATTACCGGTCTCTGACACAAGAGGGAAGCAGAAATTAACTCAAGATGTCTCCCTATTTGTAATTCAAGTCATCCGCAAATAGTCCATTATATGGTAAAGTGGACAAGCACTTAAAGAAAATAGTTAAATGTTCTCATTATGGAACAGTTTATTGTTATTTTAATATTGGAAAGAACTCCCAATACCTATTTTGCTGCCAGAGGGAGTTTATGGAAAACAATGCACATAGGATTTAAGAGATTAGATTGAAAGTCAAACAAATTTGGAGTCAAGTTGGGCTCAGGTTCATACTGACTGGGTAACCTTGGACAAACCACTTAGCCTCTCTGAGCCTCTGGAACGGGATGATAATATTTGCCTATATCCCATAATTATTGCAAGAATTACATGAAATAACGTGTAGGAGGCACATATTTCCAACATAGGTGAAATGCCCCATAAATGGTAGCTGCTATGATTCCTTTTTGAAATTTCTTGAGATAAATTGTTTGCCACTCTTGTTTTGTGAGAATTTTTTTCCAGCCCTATTGAGGTATACTCAACAAATACAAATGGCATCGATTGAGGGTTTATAATAGGATGTTTTGATATATGTGTACGTTATAAAATAATTACCACAATCAAGCTAATTAACATATACATCAGGTCACATAGTTACAATATTCTCTGTGTGGTGAGAACACAATAAAATCTGTGAATGAGAAAAATAGAAAGTCTCAGCAAATGAATAGAAATACAAAGGAGAACCAAATGGAGATATTAGAATTGAAAAAGAATGAAGTGAGTTCAGCAAAGTTGCAGGATACAAGCACGATATACAAAATCAATGGTACTTCTATGCCATTAATAATGAACAAATAATCGAAGTGAAGAGAATTCCTGGCTTCATATCTAGCTTTCATGTGATAAACAGGGTCATGGTACTATTTGGAATGAAAGAGATTTATGAGGGCGATGATGCCTTTGTTCTCATATATTTAAAAAGTGGTTATGGTGATAGGGTTAAGGGCATTTATTAATTATTCTCTTTCTGAAAAAGCAAAGCTGTGTCACTTGTCAATGTCAAGGGACAGTGATAATATACTGCAAGTAGATGGGAAGGAAGTCTGGATACAGAGGAAATGAAGTATAATGAAGTTTTGGGGCACCGTCTTCTGGGTTGATAGTGTTCTCTCGCCCTTCTCTGGCACTTATCTTAGAGGCAGTGGAAGCTGCATCCTGCTGGGATGCCTCAGCTACATGTGCCTGTACTTTGTGGGTGCTCTGGCTGGGGATAAACAGATCACTTTGCTTTTTAGGTAAACAGAACAGGAAGGAGGGACACTGAGGCCAGACAGGACAGTTACTGGGAAATGGACCTAGCTCTTTGTTTAAAAAGCTCTTTAAGGCATGGTGGATAAAATATGTCCTTAGCTCTGGCCTGTTTTGTGCAAGTGTTTGTATCAGACAAGCCTTGCCTGAAAAGTGGAAGATTCCCAGGGCAGTGACATCACAGTAGTATTATAACCAGTGGGTAAGGCAAGAGGTTGGAATGTTTGAACCAAGAGGGCTGGCACTTAGAGCACTGCTTAGACCCTGAGCATGCATTGGATTGCTTGTTAGGGAAACTGAGGCAGAAACTCAATCCTATGTACTGGATTAAGATAGTGGGGCAGGAGGTACATTAAGTGGGCACTCTGAGCTTCCCCTGAATCCCTAGTTACTAAATCTGTTAGCAGCAAGAATGAGGATTCTGTTCTGCTTCTTGCCCCTTTTGGGGTTGGCCCAGAAATCTGCAGGCAGAACCAACAGCAACTGGTTGGAGAAAGCAGAGGCAAGGTTATATGAAAGACACTTACTGCCATGAAGATTAGTTGGCCTAATTAGCTTTTCTGCCAGATACTCGAAGAAGCTCTTAATTTTTACTTGTGAAAGTACAGCAAATTTAGTTCCTCTCATGAATGGACAGAAAATAAGTCTTCACAATCTCAGTCTAAAATGGGAAGGGGTTTCTAGGCCTAAAATTTAACTGGGAGGGTAGACAATTTAACTTTGCTTGGCCAACGCTTTTTATTCAACAGTAAGCTCAAGTTGCAAGTTTCGGAAAGTGTGACGGGGCCTAACATGGAACCCAAAGGGCCACCAGAGTACTTGTGCCAAAGAAGTTAAAGACATTGTCGATCACAGTACAGATGGATGCTTGCAGTTCTTTTACAGAGCACTGAGGAATGAGAGTTTTAAGTAAAGCAGGTGCAACCCATTCCCTGTTGAGGTACTTACCTACGATCTCTCTTCATTTAACGAAAATCCAGTTTGTTATAGAAAATTCTGAGTGATATCAGATGAATTATAAACCATGGTTTCCCCCTTTAGGATGGAATCTATTGAGTTAATGATTTTCTGCCAATGTTATTATCTGTTCTCTGAAAATGATATGTGTGATATGTGTGATATCATATCCCTGAAGACACTCGAGATGGCTGAAGGAGGAACAGCTTTCAGAACTTAGATCTTCAGAGCCCTTGGCCACTCTCAGGGGACTAAACCAAGATTTTGGCACCTCATTTTGCGTGTGTATAAAATATGTAAGTGACCTCTCTCCACTATTTTAAGGAAAGGCTAACCCATGCATATTGGAAATACAGAGGAAATGCACAATAGGGAGTCAGAGAAGAAGAATTCAAATACGATCAGGTCAGCTTTGCACAAACACATGAGACATTCAATTCCCAGGGTCAAAAAAGCGGATGTCAGATCGCTGCCAAGTCTGCTGGGAATCTCAAATCCCTCCGTGACCTGTTCCTGGACTTCCTTCCAGGCATGGTGCTGAAATGAGACGGATACTCCCTTACATTTTCTCTGGATTTGGGGGCATCTTGCACCAGATTCAGAGTTCTTTTGGCTTCAGCCCCTAAAAACCTGACTGTGTCCTCTCTTCTTTATGCTTTTTTCTTCTATTTTTCCCATTTTTCATGCATGCTCACAAACTGGTAACTGAGACTGATTCTGCCAATCCTGGAAGCATCCTCTCTGTAACTATTTTCTGGACCATGTCTCCCCTCCCTCTCCTCACCTTGCACTGGATTTTGAACCCCTTGAGCTCACATCCCTGCAGATACATAACACGCTTGAAAATGTCTATTGAATGCGTGAAAAAATGAGTGTTTTTTTTTTTTTTTTTTTGAGACCGAGTATCACTCTGCTGTCTGGAGTGCAGTGATATGATTTCGGCTCACTGCAACTTCTGCCTCCCAGATATCAAGCTATTCTCGTGCCTCAGTCCCTGGAGTAGCTGGGATTGGATTATAGGCATGCGCCACAATGCCCAGCTAATTTTTGTATTTTTAGTAGAGAAGGGGTTTTGCCATGTTGGCCAGGCTGGTCTCAAACTCCTGGCCTCAAGTAATCCACCCACCTTGGCCTCCCAAAGTGCTAGGATTACAGGCATGAGCCACCACCCCTGGCCTGCGAGTGTTTTTCTAGGGCTAGAAGCCAGGAAGGAATGCTGGACACGATCATGTCATCACTTTGGGAGCCTATGCCAGCTTTCTACTGAAACTTCCAGAAGATTATTTTTTCTTTTTAAAATCATTTTTGTCATCTTAAACATCTCTGTACGTGCCTATTCCTGCTTTGTGTTTTCTTCTAATTCCCAGTTCACTGGAAGAGTAAAGACAGTTGACATTGTCGGAGTCTGGGAAACAGTCCATCCCTCCCTGGCTTTGGTTACCACCAACTACCTCGGTTCTCCTCCTTCAATATTCAGTTACCATTACCCCTGGGGCAGTGTTTCTTATACAATATCAAAACACTTCAAATATATAGAGACATTAGCAGTCAAAATTTCCATCAAAGGGAGAAAATAAAACCACCTTTTTTTTTTTTTTTTTTTTTTTTTTACTGAGTCAAACTCAACATTGTCACCCAGTCTAGAAAATATGCTTTCCCTGCAGTTCTTGCTAATTGCATTTTACTGCTGCTGCCTTCTGTTCTAAAGAAGAGAAGAGAACTATTCTGGAAACTATAATTGGATGGTATCATCAGTTATTATTTCCGAGGGAGGTCAAAGGTAGTCATTAGTTTTAGCAACTAGTGGTTCAATGAAAACTACCTGCAACAATGCAATGGGAAGCCATCTCTTTTAGTGAACAGAATTATTTCATACTCAATATTTGTTCTCTCTCTAAATATGTCAATGGAAATAAAAACATATTTCCGAAATAAACGGTGGCTTTATGAAGATTTTTTTCTTGAGATACGTACAATTCTCACCTTGCTTGGTTGACTTAATAAGCCCTATGGAGGCAAAATGATATGTGTGGTTGACGTACAATCACAACGTAAAAAACATTCCCGAGGCTTGCACCATTTAAAGGCTTGTTCCAAAAACATCAGACTCTCCGAGAGAATACAGGTACTTCAAACTCCCTTTTCTTCTGTGAGTACCATTGACATTCATGATTATCTTAGCTTAGGTGTCAGGAAACAGCCAATAATTATTGTCCATTTCAGAAGGAAAAACAGCATAGAATTATTAGAGGTATGGTAGGATTGGGGTTTTCTGCCTTTCGAAGTGAGTTGAACATGAAATAACAAAAAAGCAAAAACTGTAAACATTTAGAAGGAAATTTTACCAATTTTTGGAAGAGAAATATAATAAAAGTTTTAAAGGGTTATTTGTTTGGAAACAATAATGATCTTGAAAATGCAGCTCGATCCACCAAAGCAGTCACTTCAATATGGAAGCGGATCCTCATGGAGAGCTCACAGCTGCCTGTACCAGCTCAGAATCCACTGGATCATTTCACTGATCTTGGATCTATCTAAAAAAGATTACAGAGTAAACAATTCTTCAAGCCACAGGATCTTATGGTGGGTATTTTCTGTTTTGTTTCTGTCTGTAAAAAGTGAATTATAAAAACAAAACAGAAACAAACAAAAACCCCATCTCCCTTCTTTTTTTCTATTCGTTATTCCTGAACAACATCCACTTCCTTTTCTGCTCTTGTCTACCTTTGCAATTTCTGGCACAGATGTGCTATGCTGAGTGCCAAGTTTAGGTCCACAGATGTCGTCATAAAAAACAGGAACTAGAAAATTAGAAAATCTCAGTGCTTTGCAATGCTTATTAGCGCAAAACTGCAGCAATATGCTTTATAGTTTTTACTAGTAGGCTCTTGGGGGCAAGTCTACTCATTGGTTTGTGGACTTATTCTTACTACAAAATGGATCATTCTGTATAGACCACATCTCTTGATTAAGAGATGTGTCTATGGGACTTAAAAAAAAGGTGAAACTCTGATGTATGATTCCTGGTGTACTGTCCAACAACAACAACAAAGAATTTAGGGGATGGAGGGAATCAAGATTCATCTGGTATATAGTTTAAACTCCCTCTCAGTGTAGAAATTGTCCCAGCAACATCACATAATCCTTGAGTTTTAGAGTTGACGAGGACCTTAGAGAGATAACAGGGCAACTCCTGGAACCCACAACCTCACATAGAAACTCTCTGTAGAACACCCAAGCTGGATGGCTGCTTAGCATGGAAACCTGTGCAAGACACATCATTACCTTTTAAGAAATCTCAATATTTAGAAACAAGTGCATTTTAGAGAATTGTTCTAAATTGAATTGAATTGTACTGAATTGTATTTCAATAGAAACAAAAACATATTTCTGAAACAAATGGTGACTTTATCAAGATTTTTGTCTTGAAATACGTATAATTCTTACCTTGCTTGGTTGACATATTGAGGCAAATGGTATGTGTGGTCGAGGTAGAATCAGAACTTAGATGACAACATACCTGAGGCTTGTTCCATTTAAAGGCTTGTTCCAAAAACAAGTGAATTGTTCTGTTTAGAGAGCTGATTTCTAGCCTCTTGATGAATCCATGCATGGGTTCCGCCTCTGACTTCTGGAGCCTCACAGAAAAAGCTGTGCATTCCTTTAGTGTGCCTGGCCTTCAGACAGCTGAGGTCTCCTGGAGCAGCCTCCATGGAGTTTTCTCCATTTCCAAATCATCCTAGTTGTTTTATTCCCCACTCCTGGATAGGGGTTCTTCTTACCGTCCCTCTTCACCATCACGCTGACCGTCTTCCTGGGTGAGTCATGGCCTGACTGTTCTTTTCCTAAAATGACGTGTAGGTGTGACCACCCTGTAGGGGTGACCTGATTTATAAAATGCATCCTTTCTATGGCACCCTTTTGTTACATTAAATTAACAACATCCTTCTTATATGGCAGTTAACAGTCTGTCTAAGAATATTTTCAGCTTTATGAATTAATCTGTGCCTCTTAGTTTATGGTAAACCATTCTGCTTTTTAATTCTCAATTCCGTTCGAGCCACTTCATGTAGGTTATTTGACTTCTTAAAGAGCGAGGCCAGTTTCCGAAGTGGTGCTCTGAAAGGTCCGCCATCTCAGAGAATCAAGTCTCACAGTAAGGAAAAAAAGAAGAGACTGGATAAAAGGAAACGATTTTATGGACAGAAACACACTCTTTTTTTATTTTATTTTACTTATTTTAATTTTATTTGATTTTAAATTCTGGGGTACACCTGCAGAACGTGCAGGTTACATAGGTAAACTTGTGCCATGGTGGTTTGCTGCACCCATCAACCCATCACGTAGGTTTTAAGCCCCGCATGCATTAGGTATTTGTCCTAATGCTCTCCCTCCCCTTGCCCCCCAACCCCTGACAGGCCTCAGTGTGTGATGTTCTCCTCCTTGTGTCCATGTGTTCTCATTGTTCAAGAAACAAACTCATTTTAAAAATCTATCGTAAGGAGCTTGAGACAAAAAGTGCTAAAACACCACAGATACTAGGTAAGCCAGTGGTAGTATTTAAAGACACTGAAGCAGTAGAAATTTGAGATGTTGTTCCAGATAACACAAGTACCTCCCACTGATTAACATTTTGTCCTACAGTTCTGTTTTAAAATTCTTTTATGGGTGCTGGGAAAACTGGCTAGCCATATGCAGAAAGCTGAAACTGGATCCCTTCCTTACACCTTATACAAAAATTAATTCGAGATGGATTACAGACTTAAACGTTAGACCTAAAACCATAAAAACCCTAGAAGAAAACCTAGGCAATACCATTCAGGACATAGGCATGGGCAAGGACTTCATGACTAAAACACCAAAAGCAATGGCAACAAAAGCCAAAATTGACAAATGGGATCTAATTCAACTAAAGAGCTTCTGCACAGCAAAAGAAACTTCCATCAGAGTGAACA